>NC_000012.12:113369218-113520734 GCF_000001405.40 Homo sapiens | reverse complement strand
TGTCGGGGTCCACGCTGGTGGGGCAGGTCCTCATCGTAATATCCTGACGGAGGTTGGGTATTAAGTGCCAGGAGCCTCCAGGAGGGTAAGAGGCCATGAGTAAAGAGCAGAACGAGGGGATGGGGCAGGTGTGTTGTTGGGGTGGACAGAGAGGCGGTGAGAAGATGGGGAGTGGGATCAGAGTGGGTGCAAGAGGAACAGGGCACCTTGCCTGTGGGATGCAAGAGGAGGCAGCCCCAGAAGGAACTCGGAACACACAAAGGGAGCCAGGAGATGGCAGGAGGGGCCTAATGCAACCTTTTAAAAATAAATAAATAAATAAATAAATAATAGCGCCCGGTGACAAATGCATCTCCTCATCTGAATGGCGGCTGGAGAACCGGCCCCTTCTTTCTAATCACTTAATGACCCCCAAGAGCGCGGAGGGGGCTCACTCAGGGCCCCCCTCCTCTCTCCCCGCTCTGCACCGAGGTCTATAAAGAGAAACTCGCTCCTTAAAGAGGGTCATTTACAAACCCTCCTTAATGGAGGGCGGCAGAGCTCCCCGGCGACACCCTTCTGGTCCTGGACAAGGGTCATGAAAAAGGAATTGGCTTCCGAGGCCCGAGCACATGAGCTCCTCCAGCCCCAAGCAGCCCCCCTGCCCCTCGCGCCTCTCCAGCCAGGATCCCCGCGGCTGGCACGCTCCGATGTATTTATTATTTTTCCCCCCATTGTCTCGGCCTCCGCCCCCCCACCCCTGCCTGAGCCCCTTCGCTCCTCCGAGCCTCCCCCTCCCAAGCCGCCCCTCGGGCCCGCCCTCCGCCTGCATCCAGCCTCTCTGATAATAGCGTCCTTTTCACAGAGACAAATTGTCCAGCCTCGGGATGCACCTGAGGACTTTCGCCCCTTAACAAATGGTCTTTTAATTTTCTACCAGAAGGGCAGAGGGAAGGGGGGCCGAATCAATCACACATCCATCTTCATCATTGCTGCCGAGGGACTCTTTTTGCTGGCTGGCTGCCCCTGGGGAAGATGGGGTGAAAAGAGGGAAGGGGGGCGCCGTCGGCAGGGCCGTGGGGGAGGGGCGGCGGCAGGGAAGCCATGCGGGAAGCCCACCGCCCCTGCTCGGAGGGAGCAAGCCCGGGCCCTGCACACCTCGCCTCTGAGTCTGGCTTGAGTCCAGCCCTCACCACCCAGGGAAGAAGGAGGCACTGCTGTTTGGCAAATGGGAAAACTGAGGCCGGCACAGCCGATGGTCAGGACAAGTGGCCCTAACAGGGGAGAGGTGTGAAAGAAGCACGCGCCTCTTTGCCACTTTCGGAACTGGACTTTGGAGTCCAGTTCTGCCCCGTCCCCCAGTTACTAGCTGCACTCTGGCCAAATGAAATCACTCAGCCTACGCCTCCAGTGTGTCGTCTGTAAGATGGGGCTAATGAGAGTGACTCCCTCTCAAGGGTGTCATGGGGACTAAGTGAGATAATCTAAGGGGAGTGCTTAGGACAGTCCCAGCCATGGGTGGGCCCTTGATCCGTGATAGCGATGTGGCTCTTGAAGGTTCTTGAGCCTGGTTTTTGGTTTCCAGACTCCCCCACATCACCCTCCTACCAAGTAATATTGTGCCTCCAATTAGAAATTTGGTTTCCAGGCCAGGCACGGTGGCTCATGCCTATAATCCCAGCTCTTTGAGAGGCCCAGATGGGAGGATTGCTTGAGGCCAGGAGTTTGAGGCTGCAATGAGCTATGGTGGCACCACTGCACTCCAGCCTAGGTGACACAGCAAGACTCTGTCTCTAAAATAATAATAATAAGAAGAAGAAGAAGTAATTTTTAAAAATAAAAAATATGGTTTCCCTGGAGTCTGGGGAGCTGGCATCTACTTTCAGGCAGGGTATATTCCTGCCTCAGGGTCTTCTTTGCACTAGCTGTCTCTTCTGCCTGCTCCCCATAGATATGGGCATGGCTTACTCCTTCACCTCCCCAGATCTCTTCTCAAATGCCATCTTCCAAGTAAAGCCTTCCTTGGCCATCCTACATAACATTGCAGCACCCTGTGGCTCATTTTTCTCTGGAGTACTTACTACTATCTAATACACTATATGTATTTCTTATTTGCCTAACAAACACTTGGATAGCATTGTCCACATGTCAGACAGGGCTCTAAGCACATTTCAGGTACTGGCTCATTTAATCTGCATACAGTCTAGGAGGTAGGGATGACTGTTTCCCATTTAACAGATGAAGAAACTGAGGCTCCCAGGTAGTGTGCTGAAAGGGCCCACATGCAGTAACACCCCAGTAACAGTGAGCACACCTGGAACCCAAATCATGGCATCTACATACTATTCCCCGCTAAAAGGAACCAGGGCTCCTTGGAGAAATGGCTGATTACAGGGCTGTGACAGGAACAGCACAAGGAGAGCCTGAAACACCTGCCTGTGCAAGACTGTAAAGAGGTACTCAAAGAGTGGTGAGGACACGTCAAAAAAGGCACAGGAGCCAACCTGAAGCAATTCCCATTAGCCAAATCTAGGACAAGTGGAGGAACCAACTGGCGACATCTGCCAGGCACAGTGGCTCATGTCAATAATCCCAGCACTATGGGAGGCCAAGGCAGGAGCATCTCTTGAAGCCAGGAACTTAAGACCAACCTGGGCAACACAGCAAGACCCCATCTCTACAAATTAATTTAAAAATTAGCCAGGCATGATAGTTTGCACCTGTAGTTCCAGCTACCTGGGAGGCTAAGGCAAGAGGATTGCTTGAGCCCAGGAGTTTGAGGTTGCAGTGAGCTATGATCATGCTACTGTACTCCAGCCTGAGAGACAGAGTAAGACCCTGTCTCAAAAAAGAAATGTTGACTAAATAAATAGTCATAATAAAAGAGGATTATCTATTGAATAAGAGTTCATGAGCCTATGCTGACATATGTAAATTTAAAAGTAAGGAATTTTCTTCTTTACACTAGAAAGCTAACTAATAAATGTAGAAAAAAGACTGGAGTTAGAAAACTGCATTTAGGAAACATCATCATCATCATTGATTCAGGCAAGAATCATCAAACTATGCTAAAACAAGTGAGTCAACATCCAAGGAGTAACCAGATATTTACATCATCTCAAAGCACCTCCCCGACAATGCGGTTGTAAATTACAGAAGGAAAAACCATAAATGTACAGTAGGAAAACCTAGCAGGCACCACCTTGAGCAAGTGCTTCAGGTTCACATCACTCTGGGACAGATGACACCATGTGGCTCCTGATACGAGGCACCAAGAAGAACAGTGTCACCAGTATGGGATTCGTGACAAAATGCACCACCTGAATCAAATCACACGAAAATATCAGACACACTCAGATTGAAGGACATCTTACAGAACAATTGGCCTGGATGCTTCAAAAACATCAATGTCATAAAACCTGAAGCCTGAGGAACTGGATCCAGATTAAAGGACATGACAACTGAAGGCAACGTGCAATCCAGCAAGACAGTTTGCTATGAGGGACATTATCGGGACATATAGAAAGATCTGAATAAGGTCTGTAGATTAGATCATAGTATGGTATCAATGTTAATCTCCTGGTTTTGATCATTGTACTGTACAGTATATAAAGGAATGTCTTCATTTTTAGAGAACAGACACTGAAGTGCTTAGCGGTAAATGGCCACCATGTCTGCAACTTACTCTTACAAAGTTTTAATAAAAAATTATGTGTGTATGTGTATATATAGAGAGAGAGAGAGAAAGAGAAAGAGACAGAGACAGAGAGAGAGAAAGCTATGCAAATGTTAACATTTAAGATCATAAGGGAGTTTTGTACTATTTTTTTCAGGTTTTCCATATATAAATATTTAAAAAGTAAAGAAAAGAAGAAAATCCTGGCCAGGCACAGTGGCTCACATCTGTAATCCCAGCACTTTGGGAGGCCGAGGCCAGAGGATTGCTTGAGCCCAGGAGATGGAGACCAACCTGGACAACACAATGAGACCTTGTCTCTACAAAAAATACAAAAATTAACTGAGTGTGGTCTCAGCTACTTGGGAGGCTGAAGCAGGAGGATTGTGTGAGTCTAGAAGGTGGAAGCTGCAGTGAGCAGTGATGGCATCACTGCACTTTAGCCTGGGAGACCAAGCAAGACCCTGTTTCCAAAAAAAAAGAAAAGAGGCCGGGTGTGGTGGCTCACGCCTGTAATCCCAGCACTTTGGGAGGCCAAGGCAGGTGGATCACCTGAGATCAGGTGTTCAAGACCATCCTGGCCAACATGGCAAAACCCCATCTCTCCTAAAAATACAAAAATTAGCCAGGCATGGTGGCACGTGCCTGTAGTCTCAGCTACTTGGGAGACTGAGGCAAGGGAATCCCTTGAACTCAGGAGACAGAGGTTGCAGTGAGCCGAGATTGTGCCACTGCACTCCAGCCTGGGCAACAGAGCAATACTCCATCTCAAAAAAAAAAGAAAAAATAAAGGAAGGGAGGAAGGGATGGAGGAAGGGATGGAGGAAGGGATGGAGGGAGGGAGGGAGGGAGGGAGGAAGGGAGGAAGGGAGGAAGGAAGGAAGGAAGGAAGGAAGGGAGGGAGGGAGGGAGGGAGAGGAAAGAAGAGAAACTGAGCATAGAGAATGTAGAACTTGCACTAGGTCACGCAGCTTATAAGTAGAAGAACTGGGATTCAAACTTCAGCATTCAAGCTCTCAGACACCATGCTACCGTCTCCTTTATTCTCTTTCTCCCACAGGGACAGAATAAAATGTGGGAGCCCACTGCCCACACTCCCAAAGACCCAGGAGGACAGAGCTTTGCTTTTTGCAGGGAGAGGCCGTTGTTTGTTTGGGTTTGGGGGAAAATCTGTTTTGTTTACTACTGTATTCTCATCACCTATTTTTAGCTTCTAAATGGGCAAGAACGGGGCCTAGTACACAGTAGGTGCTCAATAAATATTTGTTGAGTGAATAAATGAAGTGCCAAGAAGCTAATTAAGGCTCCCCAGGTCACACAACTCTCAGGGGTGGCGACTGGCCCCAGCTCCTGCTGTGGCCGCTGTGAATGCACTCTTGCACCTGCTGCGTCCGATGGCCCGGGATGCTCGGTGTCCCGAGAACTCAGAGGGCTGGAGAATTTTCACAAGAAGTAGGCTTTGCAGTATCGCATCCCCACCAAAGGGGAAAAAGACAACAACACCCCCTAAACTCTCCATTTCCCCCGATTCTAGGGCCACATACCTGGCCCTAGAATAATGTGAGTTTGCAAAGCGTGTTGGGGCTTATTAAACAGGAATGCAGGTCTCAGATCAAGCCTGAGAAAACCAACAGCGCTGGAGGTTTAGCTCAGCCCCTACCCGGAGGGGAGCCCGTTAAAGAAAGAAAGAAAGAAAAGAAAAAAGAAAGAAAACGCCTGGCTTCCTCCCCTCGCGCCTGCCTCCCCTCCTCCTCCCTTCCCCCAAATCCATCCCCCGAGGGAAGACAGGCGCTGGGAGCCCTAGGAGGCCCACCTCCCCCTCTGCGGAGGGAACTGAGGGAGAAGGTTAATTAGATGTTTGCATCCAATTTACGTCTTGTTTGTGAAAGCGCCGTTTCAGCTGCAGCCCGGGCGGCGGCCCCTTGGCCTCCATCACGCGTTTTAGAGTTACTTCACAGCTCCAGAACTGGTTAACCCGGGTCAAAACGCGCCCATTATCGTTTTATCGCTGCCTCTTCCTATGTAATTATGCCCCCCTCTTCTGTTGTTTAGATCCCCCTTCTCTTCCTGCTCCACGTTGGGAGACATTGGGCCTGGGAACTGCACAGGAACCTGCCCTCTGTGCGCTGGTCCCTGAGCCGGGCACAGTGGGTGGATGCAGAGGGCACGGGGAATTATTCAGCCTGGAAACCTCCCACACCGCCGGCTGCCCCACCAGGGGTTAAAGACCCCTTGTAACCTCAGGTGCCAGGCAGAAAAAGCAAAGGAATGACTTTGGAGAGTGTGGGGCGATAGGGAGTGGAGGAGACTGTGGCAAATGGAAAGCACAGCCCGGCCTAAAGGGAACCCCATTCTGTTACTGGAAAGTGGACCTGATCCAGACCCCAAGAGAGGGTTCTTGGATCTTGCGCAAGAAAGAATTCAAGGCAAAACCATAAAGTGAAAGCAAATTTATTAAGAAAGTAAAGAGATAAAAGAATGGGCTAGGCGCAGTGGTTCATGCCTGTAATCCCAGCACTTTGGGAGGCTGAGGTGGGCGGATCACTTGAGGTCAGGAGTTCTAGACCGGCCTGGCCAACGTGGCGATACCCCATCTCTACTAAAAATACAAAAATTAACTGGGCATGATGGCCCATGCCTGTAATCCCAGCTGCTCGGGAGTCTGAGGCAGGAGAATCTCTTGAGCCTGGGAGGCAGAGGTTGCAGTTTGCCGAGATCGTGCCGCTGCACTCCAGCCTGGGTGACAGAGTGAGACTCCATCTCAAAAAATAAATAAATAAATAAATAAAAGAATGGCTTCTTCATAGGCAGAACAGCCCCGAGGGCTACTGGTTGGCTATTTTTATTGTTATTTCTTGATTATATGCTAAACCAAGGGTGGATTATTCGTAAATTTTCCGGGAAAGGGGTGGATTATTCGTAAATTTTCCGGGAAAGGGGTGGGTAATTTCCAGAACTGAGGGCTCCTCCCCTTTTTAGATCATATAGAGTACCTTCCTGACGTTGCCATGGCATTTGTAAACTGTCATGACACCGGTGGGAGTGTCTTACAGTATGCTAATGTATTATAATTAGCGTATAATGAGCAGCGAGGATGACCAGAGTCACTTTCGTTGCCATCTTGGTTTTGGTGGGTTTTGGCTGGCTTCTTTACCACATACTGTCTTATGAGCAAGGTCTTTGTGACCTGTACCTTGTGCCGACCTCCTGTCTCACCCTATGACTTAGAATGCCTTAACCTCCTGGGAATGCAGCCCAGTAGGTCTCAGCCTTATTTTACCCAGCCCCTATTCAAGATGGAGTTGCTCTGATTCAAACATCTCTGACAATTTTGCTCTGGTCAATGGATAACCATTGATCAGCCAATCTCTGTCCTCAGGGAGGTTTAGGGAAAGCAGGGGTATGGGTAGAGGGGGAGATGTGGGCACAAAGACAAGATAGTCAAGGATGGACAGAGAGCCCAACATAGGAAACCACCCAAAACCCCTTGTTAAATTAGGTGAAGGCAGCTTAAACCTGCCTTCTTATATATTTTAAATTCCACCTAAAGGTCTCTTTGTGCATAGTGAACTAACCTAACTTGGTGTATAAACAGGCTGTAACCTGGTCTTGTGCTATTCACCAAGTTTGGGCCCATTAAAGGCATCCACTGTTCAAACCATGTTCAAATAAGGCAAATGCCAAGCTGTATAACCAATCTGGCTGTTTCTGTGCCTCACTTCCATTTTCTGTATGTAGCTTTCCTTTTTCTTAATTCCGTAATTCTTGTTCAACCATGAGGCAGCACCAAAGTCTCTGTCAACCTATTCTGGTTGGGGGACTGCCCGGTTCACAAATCGTTCTTTGGGCAGTTAAACTCTGTTAACTTTCATTTGTCTAAGGTTTTTCTTTTAATGCCATCCATGACAGAATAAATAAATCAAATGTGTTTTAGTCATATAATGGAATATTAGTCAGCAATGAGATCAAATTTCACAAACATAATGATGGAAAGAAGCCACACCATGAGGAGCACGCAGGGAAGGCCACTAGTGTCAGGATTTTTGTCTCTTTTGTCCCCTGATGTATTCCCAGTGCCTCACACAGCACCTGACACATAGTAGGTGCTAAATGCATGTTTGTTGAATCAACGAATGAGCAAGAGTCCTTGATAAGTGTGGTCTAAGATTTGGTTCTAAAAGTCCACTTCCAGAGTCCCCTGCTTGGACCCAGAATCTCTTTCCACGTGATATCCTGGCCAGCCCTAGATCTGCTCAGAACTCCCTGCTGCCTTCCCCTGGTCACCGTCCCACAGCCAGAGCCAGGCCTGCTGTGACCTGTCAGTCACTCTAAGTCCTGCAGGCAAGACCCACTGGAGACCAGATGGAGCCCTCCAAACTCATTCTGTTAGTCAGGGCAGCCCCACCTGGAGGTGGGGGCCTCTGGGGAGAGGTGGCCAGTCTGTTTATTAACCCCTTCACCCCTGCCTAGCCCTATCCAGGGAGGGCTGGCCTTTGGGATGCAAATCCAGGTGGCCGCAGTGGAGGAGGAATGTTTCTCTTGTCCATGGTTTGGGAAAGCCTCATGCAGTCTCCCTGGGATGCTGGGACTCTCCCTGTCGCTGGTCCTGGGCCCCTAACACTTCAGAAAATGAAAGGTATCTCTGCTTTGTCTTTGCAGGGAGGGTTAAGTCACAGTAACTCCCTCCCTCTCCACCTTACAGGCATTTAAACTGCCTCCCTACTTGCAGATAGGGAAACTGAGGCCCAGAGAGAAGAAAGCCTGGTCACCAGCCAGAGGGGAAAGTGAGAGTGAACTTCCTGCATTCAAGGGTCTTGCCTCCTCCCCAGGCAGAGTCCCCACCATTCAAGCCCCACCCCTAGCTCTGCAGGGCCCCCCATCTGAGCGGGAAGGGTGGGGGGTGGGGGAGGGAGAGGTGGAGGTTTCCGGGAGAGGAGCTTGAACAAAAGAGAACTAGAAAAGGGAGATAGTGCCCCTTTTCCTGACTTGCCCAATTGTTCAGGACTCTGTGCAAAGGTACAGAATAACGCTCTGCCTCAGTTTCCCCCTCTGCCAATCTTTGGCTTCTGTGGACAGGAGCTATCTCTGGCTGCCATGTGGAAAAGAGATTGGAGGGATGGAGAGGAAGATGAGGTCAGCTGGAAGGTAGCAGATGATAGGGTCATCCAGGCATGGACAGAAGAGCTGCACGTTGCACACCCACCTGGTATATCACGTGGGATATTGGGTCATAGTCTTCCAAAACCCTGGCACGGGACCCATCCCTAAGAAACGCTGACTTAGAAGCTTCATTTCATACCAAAGAGCAACTCCCGGGCTCATTCCATTAGATGCCCCCTCACCCCTGCCACCCTCTCAAATCCTGCCCTGAGGCTCCTCCCCAAGTGACTAGATTGCGAAGGGAGGGGGCTGGTTGTGATCTGCCCAAACTGGTAAATTTCTTAAGCGTCAGTCCCCACCCTGCCTGCAGCCCCCCTAACTCTGCTGGGGAGATCAGAACGTCTCTGCAGCTGCAAGAAGGAAGGGAGGGGGTCCTAATTGCTACTTATGACACTATAATGGCAGGACTATTTACAGGAGATTAAAATCCAATTCATAATGGGATCTAATAATTTCACCATTGCTGGGCTGGCAGCTGGGCAGAGGGGTTTCTGTGATGCTGAAATGCTAACAGCTCAGCCACAGATTCAAGACTTTGGACAAATCAGTTTGCCTTTTGGCCCTGGGTGGACGGAAGAACTGGGAGGTGGCACTGCATTCACTTATTCTTTCATTCGCTCAAGTGTTTATTGAGTGCCCGCTGAATGCTAGGCACTGGGGAGGCACATTCCTGTCCTCAAAGAGCTTACAGTCTCATGGGAAACACAGTGACAGACAAGCTGCCTGATGAAGGAATACAAAGTTCCAGTGATTAGAATTCCATCGATCCCTTTCCTTGGAAGGAAAGATCCTGGGTTCTAGGGCTGCTTGGAAGCATCCTTCCTGCCCCAAGTGACAACATCACTATTATAAATTGAAGTGCATATCCCAAAACAGCATGTTGAAGTCTTCATCCACGGGACCTCAAAATGTGACCTCATTTGGATCTTTACAGAGATAGTCAAGTAAAAAGTTAAAATGAGGTTCTTAGTGTCGGCTCTGATACAATATGCTGGTATCCTTATCTTTATATATACACCTTTTTTTTTCTCTTTTGGTAGAGAAGAGGTCTTGTTATGTTGCCCAGGCTGGTCTCAAACTCTTGAGCTTCTCAAGAGATCTGCCTGCCTCGGCCTCCCAAAGTGCTAGGATTACAGGCATGAGCCACCACCAAAAGGGGAAATGTGGACATACAGGCAGACACAGGGGCAGACATGCACAGAGGGAAGATGACATGAGGAGATATAGCAGCCACATCATGTGAAGATGGAGACTTGAAGTGATGAAGCCACAAGGAGCGTAAAGGATGGCCAGCGGCCACCAGAATCCCACTGGAGGACGCCAGGAAGGATCCTCCCCTAGAGTCTTCCCAGCAGGCATGGCCCTGCCCACATTTTGACTTTGGACTTCTAGCCTCTGGAACTGTGAGACAATACATGTTTGTTATCCTAAGGCACCCAGTGTGTGGCATTTGTTACAGCAGCCCGAGGAAATGTGACCATCCCCTACTACAGGGACACCACAGCCCAGGTCCACCCTGGAGCCAGAATGCCAGGGATCTCAGCGGCTTCCTAACTGGGTGGCCTTGGGCTAGCAGCAACCTCTCCTCTCAGAGCCTGGATTTCATCTCAGGTTCTTCAACCTATCCTGTGGGGCTGAGGATGATGATGACAGCACCTCCTTCCAGGAGTCATTGTAAAGATCAAGGGATCAATGGGCAGGTTGTAAAATGATAATGGCAGTGTTAGGGACAAGGCTGAGGAACATTATTCAAGTCCCAGGCAGCTGGCTCCAGATTAAGGGCTTAGAGTCATGCCCCACCCCAGGATGGAGGAGGCAGGGTCAGTATAGGAGAGGAAAGAATGACGGTGGGAAGACAAATAGAAACGGGGCCGGGCACAGTGGCTCATGCCTGTAATCCCAGCACTTTGGGGGACCCAGGCAGGTGGATCGCTTGAAGTCAGGAGTTCAAGACCAGCCTGGCCAAAATGGCAAAATGCCATCTCTACTAAAAACACAAAAATTAGCCAAGTGTGGTGGCACACGGCTGTAGTCCCAGCTACTCAGGAGGCTGAGGCAGGAGAATCATTTGGACCCAGAAGCGGAGGTTGCAGGGAGCCAAGATCGCGCCACTGCACTCCAGCCTGGGTGACAGATTGAGACTCTGTCTCAAAAAAAAGAAAAGAAAAGAAAAGAACTCTTGTTACCATGGATTGAGAGGCACATAGGGTAGTGACTGTCACACAGACTGCCTGGGTTCAAACCCCAGCTCCACCTTGACTATGTGACCTTGGGCAAAAGCTACTTAACTTTTCTGTGCATCCATTTCCCCACTTAAAAATGGAGAGAATAATCACACAGACCCCACCGGGTTGCTATGAAAATTAAGTAAGCTATTCATTAGCTCAATTAAACCATTCCACGAAGTATACATATTTCAAAACATCCTGTTGTACACAATAAATCTATACAATTTTTATTTAATTTTAAAAATAAAGAAAAGAAAGTTAAGTTAATCTGTGGGCAGCACTTAAAACATGATGTCTGGTACAAACTAAGGGCCATGTATGTGAATGTGAAATAAATAAAATAAACTTATATGTAAACAGCATCCCATTCAGGCAGCCCCTGCAGGCAGCTTCCTCCCCTGCTGAGGCCAGGGTGGCAGAAGCTATCTCTTGCCCGGATCCCATGAGCACAAGGACACAGGACTTTGTAGCTGTTTCTGGGGACCAGCCTTCAGCCAAAATGACAGAAGGATGGCCCCTCATGCTGAAATGAGAGAACATTCCACCGTCAGGAAATGGAACCACTGAGAGCTTTTGCTTGGAGGAGCCGGAGATTATACCTTGGCCAGCCTGGAATCCTGCTGCTGACCTCAATGAGCAAAGGAGAGATGGTGACAAAAGACCTGGTGAATGTATTGGGCCCTGCCACAAATTGCTTTTGGGGAGCAACAGGTTGAAGATCAATAGGGAGTAGAAAAGGGAGTGGTTTAAAAATACCTTGGTGGGGAGGGGATTAAAGGGGATAATGTGGTAGGGAGGGAGGTGATGGAGATGCCCAGTTGAAGGAAAGCTCACTGGCTGGGGACTTGGGAGATGGCTTTTAGACCCCATGCAGATCTAGGTCAGCTGTGGATCCCAGATGAATCTCCTAGGAAGCCAACCCCAATCCTGGCACCTCCTGGGGATGTCACACAGTTTCAGGGACTGGGAATGACCCTAGGGTTCCGTCTGAGATAGCTCAGCTGATCCAAGAGGAGCCAGAATGGTACAGGTGGGGAATATTGTAACATCTAATAACATCTAACCAATAATGATAGAAGCTCGTGTCTACAAAGGGCTTACTACATGCCAGACACAGTGATAAGTGCCTTACCTGCTGTATTAGCCTCTTCTTGCTGCTGTAACAAATTGCCACAAACTTAGTGGCTTAAAACAATGCAAAATGTATTATCTTACAGTTCTGGAGGTCAGAAGGCTAACGTAGGTCTCACTGGATTAAAATCAAGTTGCTGGTAGGGCTGCATTCATTCTGGAGGCTCTAGGGGAGAATCCATGTCGTTGCTTTTTCCAGATTCTTGATGCCTCCTGAATTCCTGGGCTTGTAGCCACTTCATCTGTCTTCAAAGCCAGCAGTAGAGCATCTTCTCTCTCACCAAGCTCTCTCTCTCTCTCTCGACCTCTGCTTCCATCATCACATCTCCTTCTCTAACTCTGACTCTCCCACCTCCCTCTTAGAAGGCCCCTTGTGATGACACTGGGCTCACACATAATCCAGGATCACCTCCCCATCTCAAGATCCTGAATATAATCACATCTGCAAAATGCCTTTTGCCATGTAAAGTTACATATTCACAGGTTCTGGGGATTCACAAGTGAATATTTTTAAATCCAGCCCAGACTGGGTACAGTCCCTCATTCCTGTAATTCCAGCGCTTTGGGGGAGGCTGAGATGGGAGGATCACTTGAGCTCAGACGTTCTAGACCAGCCTGGGCAACATGGTGAAACTCCATCTCTACAAAAAATTAGCCAGGCTGGTGGTGCATGCCTGCAATCCCAGCTACTCAGGAGGCTGAGGGGGGAGGATGGCTTGAGCCTGGGAGGCAGAGGTTGCAGTGAGCCAAGATCGTGCCACTGAACTCCAGCCTGAATGACACAGTCAGACCCTGTCTCAAAAATAAATAAATAAAAATAAAATAAAATCCAGCCCACTTCACTTGGATTGACTCATTTCACCCTTGCAGCTACCTTCTGAGGCAGGGCCACTATTCCTCCCACTTTACAGATAGAAAACTGAGGCTCTGAAAGCTAACCAGCTAACCCAAAGACATGCTCCCAGGAAGAGGAGAGACTCTCCCTTTCTCTGGCCTTGAACCTGGGAGGACCAGCCCCTGGATCCAACTGTGCCTGAAGTAGTCTACCTTAGACTTTTCAGTTCATGAGCTAACAAATTTCCTTTTCTGGCTCAAGCCAATCAAGTTAGATTTCTTATTATTTGCAACTGAGAGAGTTCTGATGGACAGGAGAGTCCTCCTGAAAAAGAACATTTCCTCAATGGTCAAAAATTGCATATGGCTGCAGTGCCTGGTCATTTAACCTGCTGGTCAGTCTGGTTTTTAAAACATACTAGATCTCATATTCATTCATTCATTCTATAAATAAATACTGAACACCTGCTTTCTGTCAGGCATTGTTCTAAGCCAGGGTCAGTAAACTTTTTCTGTAAAGAGCCAGATAGTAGATATTTTCAGCTTTGCAAGCCCTCCTGTCTCTGTCACAACTCCTCAGCTCTGCAATTGCAGAGCAAACACAGCTGTACATCATACAGAAATGAACAGGTATGGCTGTGTGACAATAAAACTTTATTTACAAATGCCTGTGAGCAGGCTTTATCCACAGACTGTAATTTGCTGGCCTTGTTCAAGGTAAGAAGAATACAGCCATGGGCTGGGCACAGTGGTTGAGCAACTTGCCCTTGGTCACACAGCTATCCAGTGATAAAAATCTATGAGTCTATCTGGGCGCAGTGGCTCACGCCTGTAATCCTAGCACTTTGGGAGGCTGAGGTGGGCGGATCACCTGAGGTCAGGAGTTTCAGACCAGCCTGGCCAACATGTTGAAACCTCATCTCTACTAAAATATAAAAAATTAGCCAGGCATGGTGGCACATGCCTGTAATCCCAGCTATTCGGGAGGCTAAGGCAGGAGAATCACCTGAATCCGAGAGGTGGAGGTTGCAGTGAGCACCACGCACTCCAGCCTGGGCAAAAGAAGAGTCTCAAAATAATAATAATAATAATAATAATAATAATACAACCATGAACAAGTCTGCCCTCATGGGTTTCCTAGAGCTTCTGTTCTAAGAAGAGAAATGGTCAACATGCAAATAAATAACTGTAAGTAACATCAAGAAGTGGTAAGTGCTGTGCAGAAAAACAGACCTGGGGGAGGAACTAGAGGGGAATGGGGTATTTATGCAGGGTAGTCGGGGAAGGCTTCTGTGCAGGGGCCATTCGGACAGAGACGTGAAATGAGGACATGAGTTGGGGGCTGAGGGGCATCCGTGGGAAGAGCATTCCAGTAAAGGGAATGGCAGATGCAAACACCCAAGGATGAGGCCACGCTTGGAGAGTTTGAGGAATGGAAGGACCTCACAGACCATGGCTAGAAAAAAGAGAGGAAAGGACAGAGGAGGGCATGAGGGCAGAGAGTGCTGGCACCGCAGTAAGGGCTCTGGGCCTCGGATGCGATGGGGCCATCTGAGGGTCTGGGGCCGAGCAGTGGCAGGATCTGGCTTATATTTTGAAATGGTGCCTCTGACTACTGGATGCAGGATGGGTTGAGGGGTGAGGACAGGAGCAGGGAGGCCAGTGAGGAGCCTTCTGCCATGACCCAGGCAGGAGATGAAGGGGTCTTGGACCGGGGGGCTGCAGCAGAGAGAGTGGGAGGTGGTTGGATTCAGGATCAATGTTCAAGGTCGAGCTGACAGGGTTGTCTAACGATGCCACCCCCACCAACTAAGACCTTACTTTCTATCACCTTCCGCGGCAGCCTCCACCCACCCTGACGACAGCGAAAACAGCTGTCAAGACTTCTTTTTTTCAGAGAATGGAAAAAAGAGCCAACAATCTATTAACTCATCAATACAGAACCACGCCAATCTGTCCATCACCCAGGCCCCATCGATAATTCCATCTCGGGGCTGACAAGGCAGGAGAGAAGAGGGAAAATGAAATATTTATAATTTCTTAAGGGACAAAGCCCTTCCCCAAGGTGATGTTTTCAGGTTCAAGCACATTAAGGCTTCCATCACAGAACAATCTCCCTGCCTCCCTGCCTCCTGCTGCCTTCTTGGAAGAGCAGAGACATCCAACAGAGGGGACATCCTAAAAAAATCTAGGATCAAAGTTCTTTGATTTTGGACCAAGGTTTTGACATCAGACCCATAGTTTTTTTTTTGTTTTGTTTTGTTTTTTGAGACGGAGTCTCGCTCTGTCGCCCAGGCTGGAGTGCAGTGGCGTGATCTTGGCTCACTGCAATCTCCGCCTCCCAGGTTCAAGCGATTCTACTGCCTCAGCCTCCTGAGTAGCTGGGATTACAGGCACGTGCCCCCATATCTGGCTAATTTTTGTATTTTTAGTCGAGACGGGGTTTTACCATGTTGGTCAGGCTGGTCTCGAACTCCTTAACTCATGATCCGCCCACCTCGGCCTCCCAAAGTCCTGGGATTATAGGTGTGAGCCACCACGCCTGGCCAGACTCATAGATTTTTATCACTGGATGGCTGTGTGACCAAGGGCAAGTTGCTTAACCTCTCTGAGCCTCAGTTTCTCATCTGTAAAATGGAGACAGCAATAGCACCTATCTTATGAAGTTCTTGTGAAGATGAAGTGAGATGATTTATGGGAAGCACTTAGCAGAGTACAACCCTAGCATGTGCAGAAAGTTACTATAACGAATATTTTCTGAGTGCCCATTTGATCTGAGTCTTGAGGGGTAAATAAGTTTCCGTCACAGGAACAGTGTTTTGGGCAGGAGGAACAACCTTGGCACAGGCCCTGAGAGTGTGAAGGAGCAGTTTTTAGAAACTGCAGAATCACGTCGGGGGACCAGAGCAATGCGGGTAAATTAAATTCCTTTCTAACTGTGGGAGATTCTAAAATTAAGCACTCCAGGATGAAGGAAGGAAGGTGGGGTTTCCCCAGTTTCAGATAAGGAGAGTTGGAATCTGGGCCTGGTTGTTTTGCCAACATTTTTTGTATACAACATTATTTGTATATTGACCGTTTCTCTTCTTAGAACAGAAGCTCTAGGAAACCCATGAGGGCAGACTTGTTCATGGCTGTATTATTATTATTATTATTATTATTATTATTATTATTATTATTTTGAGACTCTTCTGTTGCCCAGGCTGGAGCATGTGGTGCTCACTGCAACCTCCACCTCTCGGGTTCAAGCAATTCTTCTGCCTCAGCGTCCCGAATAGCTGGGATTACAGGCATGTGTAAGGTGCCCTGAAGATGCGTAGGGAGTTTGTGAGTGGATGGGTTGGTTCCTTTCTAACCCTAGGTGCTGGAATTAAGATAATTCTCTCCTCAACTCATAGCGCATGCTATTGTCATTTATTCAGGCAAGGCTCCTCTTTTGCTTTTTATTTTAGTATTATTTTTCCCTTTATTTCTGTATTAGTCAGCTTTTACTGCATTGATGCTGCAGAACAAACAACCTCAAAACCCCAGAGGCTTACAACAATAAACATGTTTGTCAGGTTTTTTTTCACACATGTGAGCCTGTGGGTTGGCTGTGGTTTGGCTGATCCAGACTGGGCCCAGCTGGGTCAGCTCAGCTGCGCTCCAGGATTCCTAGAGGGCCCAGGTCTGCTCCACAGGGCCCAGACTAAAGGGGAAGTGGCTGCCTGGGGCATGAGCTTATCATGGGGGATCATAAAAGTTAAGAGAGCAAGGCAAACCCCACAAGCACATTGAAAACCTCTGGTTGTGTCACATCCTTTAACATTCCTTTGGCCAAAAGTCAGTTGCCTAAGTCCAAGGTCAAGGAAGGGGCAGGGAACTACCACACACACACACCGAAGACTTGGCAAAGGTGGAGAAGTATAATTCTATAACAAGGAGGGAGAGAAGGGCTGGGAATGATGATCAATGATCCAATCTACCACAATTGCCCATTCACAATTTCATTTTCCTTCCCACTACAGGCACTTATGTGTGTCAAATAGATAGAATATAGATGATACATAGATGATAGATAGGTGATGGAAAGATGGATCATAGATGATAGATAGATTTATTTTATTTCACTTTATTTTATTTTATTTTACAGATTCTCACTTTGTGATCCCAGCTGGAGTGTACTGATGCGATCACAGCTCACTGCAGCCTCAAACTCCTGGGCTCAAGTGCTCCTCCCACCTCAGCCTCCCAAGTAACTGGGGCTACAGCCATGTGCCACCACACTGGGCTAATTTTTTTATTTTTCATACAGATGGGGTCTCACTACAGATTGATGATGGATTATAGGTGATTGATTGATAGATTATATGTTATAGATGATTGATAGAGAGAATGGATTACAGAAGATGGATATAGAGATAGATATCATTAAAATTTTTACAGTATTATCTTATATCTCATTATTTACAACAAAATAATTGTTTTAAATAAACTTTATTGAGACTAATTTATATTCAAATGATGCATCTGTTCTAAGGGTACAGCTTGATATGTTTTGATAAATGTATACACTCATGTAACCTCCACAACCAAGATATAGAACTTTTCCAACACCCCAGGAAAAAGTTTCCTTGAATCTCTTTGGAGTCAATTCCCCCACCCCCACCCCCCAATCCAGGGAGCCTTTGATGTGTTTCCTGTCCCCATAGATCAGTTTTGACTATTCTCCACATTCCTATAAATGGAATCCTATCATAGGGACTCTTTTGGGCCTGGCTTCTTTCACTTGGCATGAAGCTCTTGAGATTCACCAGTATCACTACCCAGATCAACACCATGTTCCTTTTAATTGCTGCGTAGTACTCCACTGTATGCAATTTGTCCATCCAGTCAACTGTTGATAAACAGTATTATTGTTTTTAATTTACCCAAATGATATTGATTTTACAAGTCTTATTCTGTTCCATACTTTTTCACATACCATATTTTTGTGGTCATCCATGGTGTTATGTGTAGCTCTAGTTTGGTCTTTCTGCTGCTGCACGATCTTGAACACCTCTCTTTACCTTGTTTTCTTTATCCATTTGCCTAATGATGGACCATCAGTTTGCCTGTTTGCCAGTATGAACACTGCTGCAATGAACATGCATGTTTCATGCATGTTTTCTTATATATCTGAGAGTTTCTCTGCGGTTCCTACCCAAGAATTGAATTTCTGGAGCATGCTGTCTGCAAATATTTAACATCATAAAATACTGGCTAACCACTCCTCAAACTGGCTGCTCCAGGCAATACCCCACAGCACACATCAGGACATTTATTTCTCCATGTCCTCACCAGCTCTTGGTGTTATATGTCCCAATGTTCTGATTTTTACCAGTTGGATAGGAATACCATAGTAAGTCATTGAGGTTTTTTTCATAAACATTCCTCCAATTACTGGTGATTCTTTTCTTGTATTCTCTTGCCTAGGCTTATTGTCAAAATTGCGAGTTGGACAGCTTTCCTTTTGTTTTATTTTTCTGGAAAAATCTAATACAAGAGTTATCTGCTTCTTAACATTTATACAACTCACCTGTAAGACTGTCTGGGCGTGGTTCTTTTTTTATGGCAAGGTAAGGCATTAACGCCCTTGAGTCCCATACATTGATCTTTCTGGGGAAGCTTGGCTATCTTTGGTGCTGCCTGTCAGATACACAATAGCCTGAGAAGACAGTGCTGCAACCAGGTGGGTAAGGAAGGGACAAAGGGTTGGGCAAAGCATGGATGGGGGCAGTCACTGAGCCTGGGAATGTGGAGAGGCAGCAGGAATGTGCGATATAAAAAGTAGGCTTAGTTCAGAAGAAACAAGGGAGAGGGAAAAGGGATAGGACTCTGAAACTGTGAGCTCTCTGCTGCATGCCTCTGTGTGTGTGTTGAATCTAACCAAGTGACTCTCACTAGACCTTGTCATGCATTGTTTCTGTGTCCATGCATACTACACCCAATGTCTTTTTGCATCAGTGTCATATATGGTGCATGTATGTTTCTGTGTGTCCACATATGCACACACCTACCTGTCATTTTCTCCAGAGCCTATTTGTGCAAGCTCTGTGCAACGTGTATGTGTGTTTGTCTGTGCATTTTACAGTTGATTATTAATCATTTACAGAATCTGCATATGACTATGTTTAGCGCATTTGCATCTATTGTGTTATTGGGAAAGACTTCACACACAGGTTCTGAGTGTGTGTGTGTGTGTGTGTGTGTGTGTGAGATGGGGGTAGTACAAACAGTATGCATTATTGCAGAGGC
The DNA here is from genome assembly GCF_000001405.40 of Homo sapiens. Taxonomy (NCBI): domain Eukaryota; kingdom Metazoa; phylum Chordata; class Mammalia; order Primates; family Hominidae; genus Homo; species Homo sapiens. The sequence continues at coordinate 113,501,450 of NC_000012.12, read as the reverse complement.
TGAGTATCCCATTGTGCAGGTTTATTTGTTAAACAAAACCCATGCACCAATTGTGTTTGCATCCACATGCAAGTATGTGTGTGCGTGTGTGTGTGTGTAGTAGAGTGTTACCATCTCTGTGTCTATTGCCACAGACTCCACACACTGTGCTTTTGCATGTTGGTGTCTGTCTATTGCACCCACACAGCCTCCCCTGCCCCCTCCCGAGCCTGTTTGTAGAGACACCGGCATAATGTGGCTATGCGTGTGAATGTGTGTGTGTGTTTGCCTTTTATTTTGCTCACTGTTCTGTGACAACAGAATGCTTTCCCTGCTTACCTCGTCTTCCACATTGCAATCCTTTGGGGATATCAAGGGCAAGCCAGAGAAGGGTTACCTGGAGAAAAGGGTTGCTAAGCAACCAAACACCCACCACCCCCAAGCACCACCAACCCAAAACTCCGTTCCAGGCCTGCAACCAGATTAGCATATTAATGAGGCTGTAATTTCCCCCGAATTGTCTGCTGGTACACACTCAACTCACAGCACACTGGCCCAGGAGTTTGCTATGCAAATAAACTGGTTTTACAGACTGCGACTTAATTAACTCATCAAGTTCATCCTCCTAACAGAAAAGGCAGACGAACTACAGATTAATGAACCTGTGTTTGCTCGCCCCTCTCTCTCTCTCCCCTGCCATAGCAAGCTGCCTTTTTCTTTTTACGGCCCGTTTCTTTTCCTTCTCCTCCTGAACCTAGTAGCTCCCAAAAACCCATCTGGGGTTCTCCTCCATCTTCCTCTGGGGTTTCTCCATCCGAGCCTGATCTCTCCATTCCCCAAATGCCTCTCCCTTCTCATGCCTGCCTGGAGCCTCCCCCAGGCCTCACACCCAGCTCCAGGGGTCTCCATCTCATGGGTCCTCCTCCCTGTCCAGGCAGGCTGTTGGAGAAGCAGAGAACTGAAAATGGGACGCTGTTCCTTTAACGAGCCGAGAGCACAGGCTTTATTTTTTGACACACGATTCATAGTTTAGCCCCAGCCCTGATATTCAATCAGCTGAATACAGATTCTGGAAGAAGAGGCATTCTCCCTGCCTGCGTGTTAATTAGAAACGCCAGTCCTGGCTGCCTCCCACACTAATCAACTTTCTCCACGTCTTGATGGAGGACACACACCCAGGAGGGGTCCCTGGAACTCTCTGTGGAGAAATCAGCAATGCCCTGGATGCAGGAAGCCCCTTAGGATGGAGTGGCTTTGAACACTGGACCATTTCTCCCCAAACCCCATTTCTTTTCTCCCTGGCTTTGCCACTCACTGAGCTCTGGTGATGACATCACCTCCTCCAGGAAGCCTTCTCTGGTTTGGTGAAATTCAGAGCATAAATCTAAACCTAGAAGACAGCTCTACATTGGAATGTCAAGACATTTGCCCCCCAGCCCTGGCCTCCATGCAAGGAGGACATTCCACAACTTCGCCAATGTCACAAATAAGCCGCTTAGTGACATTCTGCCCCTTCCCCAGACTTCCCTGTCCAAATTCAGGCCTTACTATTTCTTACGTGGGTTATTGTACAATGTCTTATATCAGTTCTCTCTGCCTGTTATCTTATTTCCTTACAATCAGCCTTCACTGTGCCACTGGAGAAATAAACCAGTTCCTCCCCTGCTCAAACACCTCTGATGGCTCCCTATGGCCATTAGAACAAAGTCCAAGTGTAGCACAGTGTTCAAGCCCATCTGTGATCTGGCACTACCTACTCCCCTCCAGCTTCGCCTTGCAACCCAAATGTCTGTGGTTTTGAAATACAAGTGAGTATAAGAATCATCTGAAGGCCAGGTGCAGTGGCTCACGCCTGTAATCCCAGCACTTTGGGAGGCCGAGGCAGGCAGATTGCTTGAGGCCAGCCAACATGGTAAAAAAAAAAAACCCCATCTCTACTAAAAATACAAAAATTAGCTGGGCATGGTGGCACATGCCTGTAATCCCAGCTACTTAGGAGGCTGAAGCAGGAGAATTGCTTGAACCCAGGAGGCAGAGGTTGCAGTGAGCCGAGATGGCGCCACTGCACTCCAGCATGGACGACAGAGTGAGACTCTGTCTCAAAAAAAAAAGAGAGAGAATTATCTGAAGCCCTTTAAAAGATTCAGATTCATGGGCCCTACCTTGAGATAAACTGCTGCTGTAGAAACTGCTTCTGTAGGCCTACAGCAAACCCAGGAATCTACATCTTTAACCCGTATCCCAGGTGACACTGATGGAGGTTGTCCTCGGACCACACTGTGAGAGACAAGGCCCTTTGCTCACCCTCCTGAGCTCCTGCCTGCACTTGATTAAATCCCGCTGGCCAAAGCACTTGGTCCGGTCTGGCCCTCCTTCTCAAAGGGCCTTCTTGACATGCTCCACCTGGCACTCCTCCCCAGCATCACCTGTTAGAGATGCTGCCTGGCCAGTGGTATGGCGGGGCCCTTCCCCTGGCCTCCCTAGCCCTCTGGTCTCTCATCCCTCCTGTCTGTGAGTAGCAGGCACCCAGGCAGCCCTCGGGACGGTTGTGTATGACTTTATGACCTGACATAGGGGTAGGTTGGAGTATTTTTTAACTCTCCTTGAAAACCAAGAGAGGCTTGGAAATTAAGAAAAAAAATTAATTCTCCCAAATGATTGCTTTTACTGTCAATCAATAAAGATCTTCAGTGTAAATAGAAAAGAACGTGAGTCCTAGAGATTGACCAACTCCCCATCTCACCATCAACTTGCTGTGTGTCCTTGGGCAAGTGACTTGCCCTCTCTGTGCCTCAGCTTCCCCCATGCAAAGTGGGAACAATGATAGCACTCACTTCATAGAAGCAGAAATGAGATTTTCAAACAGCCACAGGAAGTTCTTGAGACACCCAGTTAGTGGTTAATTACTGCCTGTCGTTCCCTTAACGTGTTCGTCTGAATCCAAGGGGCACAGTGAGTTCTTTATCTCCAGGTGCTCTGTTTTTGGTTTTACTCTCCGAGTGCAGTGCCTGGTGCATGGTAGATGCTCAGCCAGTGAAGGTTTCATAGTTGGAACTTAAATGGAAAGTGGACAGCTCTGGAGGTGCAGGAAAGCTGCTTCTTTCATGAATCCAGGTGGCTCTTATGTTCAGGCACGTCAAAGACAGACACACAGGCACACACAAATACATACACAGAGACAAACACATACACAGAGACAGACAGGCACACACAAAGACAGACAGACATGTAACAGAGACAGACAGACATACACATACAAAGACAGACATGTACAAAGACAGACACATGAATATAAACATACACACAAACAAACACAGATAAACAGACTCAGAAAGCCAGGCAGACAATCAGACACACACACGTACCTACATAAAGATAGACACATACACACAGAGACACCCTTACAACAACCCATTCTTCCACATCTACGTAAAGAACACATAGACACACATGCACAGACACACAAAGGAGACAAACACAGACAGACACACATAGATCCATGCAAACACACACAGATTGACACAGACAGATACACAACCTCACATGCACACAGATTCATATACACACCCACACACCCTGGCACACACCCACACACCCTGACACACACACACACGCATGCACATGCACTGCCAGTCCGTTTTGTTCTTGTATACCAGAATCACAAGCGGCAGCGGCGGCAGCTGCCTCCCCATCTCTATAACAAGCCCGCATTTATTTGAAGAGTGTCAGGAGGTCATTCCTCAGCTAAATAGTGTCATTCCTATCCATTCCCTCTCCTCCTAGGACCTATTCCACAATCCATTCATCATGCCCATATCTCCAGCCGCAGGGCCTCCCAGACGCCCGGCCTCCCCCTTCTCTGGCACAGAGGGGCAGCAGCAGCCTCGCTAGGGGGCTGACCTCCAGTCCCTGCCCCTGGGCCTGACATTCCTGTTTCCCCAGGACTTTCATCCTGCAATCATTGACCCCACCTTGTAGGCAAGAGGGCAGAGGCACAGAGAAGAAAAATGCATTCGTTCGTTTATTCACTTATTCGTTCAAGATTAGGTAGGAACACTTGAAATTGCCATTTTTAAAGATCAAAACCAGTCAAATATCAACAAATTAAAATGGTTCATCCTAATATTTAATGAGTGGGTCCCTCGTGCCAGGCATTGGGCCAGGCCTTGAGATGCAAGGATTCACCTGACACTGACATTCTAGGGGGCAAGAAAAACAAATACATGAATGACACCTTCAGATGGAAGGGAGTGCCAGGAAGAAAAGAGCTTCAGTGTGTCTGTAGTTCCAACTAGCGGGAGGCTGAAATGGAAGGATTGTTTGAGCCCAGGAGGTGGAGGAAGACGCAGTGAGCTATGATTGTGCCACTGCAGTCCAGCCAGGGCAACAGAGTGAGACTCCGTCTCAAAAAAGAAAGAAAGAAAGAAAAAGAAGAAAGAAAGAGAGAAAGAAAGAGAAAGAAAGAAAGAACGAAAGAAAGAAAGAAAAAGAAAGAAAGAAAAGAAAGAAAGAGGAAGGAAGGGGAGCTATACTGTTTTGAACAAGGATGTCAGGGAGGACTCCTCTGGGAAGGTGACATTTGAACAGAGGCCTGAGTTAAAGTGGGAGGCTCAGCCCCTTGGGTACTTGAGGCCAGCTGGTTTACAGGCAGAGAAAACAGCCAGTGCAAAGGCCCAGAGGTAGGCATATGCATGGCTGTGAGGGCAGCAGGGAGGCCGGGTGGCTGGAGCAGAGGAAAAAGAGGAGAGGGTGGGGGAATGAAGGCAGTCAGGCAGGAGAAGCCCAGGCATGGGGGCAGCTTGGATTTTATTCAAGCGTGATGGGATCCACTACAAGAAAGTGATAGGTTCTGACTTAACGTTGCCCACATCACTGCTTTCTCAGTGTATGCCTGAGAGAATTAAAAACCTAAGGCTGGGCACAGTGGCTCACGCCTATAATCCCAACACTTTGGGAGACTGAGGCAGGCAGATCGCCTGAGGTCAGGAGTTCGAGACAAGCCTGGCCAACATGGTGAAACCCTGTCTCTACTAAAAATACAAAAATTAGCTGGATGTGGTGGCACGTGCCTGTAGTCCCAGCAATCTGCAGTCCCAGGTACTCAAGAGGCTGAGACAGGAGAATCACTTGAACCTGGGAGACTGAGGTTGCACTGAGCAGAGATCGCACCACTGCACTCCAGCCTGGGTGACAGAACGAGCCTCTGTCTCTCTCTCTCTCTCGATAGATAGATAGATAGATAGATAGATAGATAGATAGATAGATAGATATAGATGGATGGATGGATGGATGGATGGATGGATGGATGGATGGATAGACAGACAGACAGACAGACAGATAGATTAGATAGATAGATAGATAGATAGATAGATAGATAGATAGATAGATAGATAGAAATAGATGGATGGATGGATGGATGGACGGACGGACGGACAGACAGGCAGACAGACAGACAGACAGACAGACAGATAGATTAGATAGATAGATAGATGATAGATGATAGATAGATGATAGATACATACATATTCTATAAATATAGTCTAGAGAGAGAGAGAATTAAAAACCCCGAGACTCACACAGATCACTGCATATAGATATTCATGGCAGCATTACTTATAATGGCCAAAAGGTGGAAACAGCCTAAATGTCTGTCATCAAATGAATAGATAAACAAACATGGTCTATCTATACCCTGGAATATGATTCAGCCATAAAAAGGAACAAAGTCCTGACACACATTACAACATGAAAGAACCTCGAAAGCATTATACTATGTGAAATAAGCCGGTCACTAGAGGACAACTATTATGTGATTCCACGTGTATGAAATACCTTGAATAGGCAAATGCAGAGAGACAGAATGTAAACCAGAAGTTGCCAGGGGACAAGGGAAATGAGAAGTTATTGCTTCAGGGAAACAGAGTTTCTGTTTGGGGTAATAAAGTTTGGGAACTAGATGGTGATGGTTGCACAACATTGTGAATGTACTTAATGCCACCAAACTGCGCCCCTTAAAAATGGTTAAAATATTTTATTCTTCTTGAATTTAAAAAAGGAAAAGAATAGTTAAAATGGCAAATTTTATGTTATATGTATTATACCACACTCACAATAAAAAATAATAATTGGCCGGGCACACTGGCTCACTCCTGTAACCCCAATATTTGGGAGGCTAAGGTGGGAGGATCATTTGAGCCCAGGACGTTGAGGCTGCAGTGAGCCATGATCACACCACTGCACTCTACCCTGGGGACAGAGCGAGACCCTGTCTCAAAAATAGTAATAGTAATAATCACTGCTGGACAGAGATTAACCCAGAAGGGGCAAGGAGAGCAGCAGGGAGGCCAGTAGGAAGCCACTGCCTTTTTCTGGGCTTATGACCATAACAGTCAGAGCATAATGTACCCAAGGTGTCTCAGGGACACCATGAGAACAAGGGCTCCAGCCCAGGACATTGGCCTCTACACCTCCCCTGTGCCAGTCTGGCTTTGGGGACTTTAGGAGTAGAATAATAGCTTGGAGTGACAGCTCTGGGTCTGGGAACCTGTGTTCAAATTGCAGATTTGCCCCACTCCTAGCTCTGTGACCTTGGGATTGCGACCTCAGCTCTCTGGGCCTCAGTTTCCTCTTCTGCTGAGTCGAGATGATAATGGCACCTACCACAGGGGTTGTTGGGAGGCTGAACTGGGATAAAGTAAGTCAAGGGCTGCCTCCATGTCTGGTAGCAGAAAGCCCTCCAGGAGCCATAATTCACCAAGGTAACTGTGTGAGGCCTTTTTTGTTTTGCTTTTTTGTGGGTTTTGTTTTTGTTTTTGTTTTTTTTAGACAGAGTCCCTCTCTGATGCCCGGGCTGGAGTGCAGTGGCGCAGTCTCAGCTCACTCCAACCTCTGCCTCCCACGTTAAAGGGGTTCTCATGCCTTAGCCTCCTGAGTAGCTGGGATTACAGGCGTGTACCACCATACCTGGCTAATTTTTCTATTTTAGTAGATACGGGTTTCACCGCGTTGGCCAGGCTAGTCTTGAACTCCTGATCTCAAATGATCCTTCTGCCTCAGCCTCCCAAAGTGCTGGGATTACAGGCATGAGCCACCGCACCTGGTTCCCTCACCTCTCTTCTTCTCTTCCCATGTCACCCTGCCTGCTGTCTCCTCCCTCCAGGACCAGCTTCGTAGGTCCACAACCTGCATAGTTGCACAGGGCCTAGTTCGGAAGGCCCCCATACCTGGTTTTAATGCTCCACTGCCACCATCTTGAAACTCTTAATCACAGTCAAGCAAGGGGCCCCATATTTGCATTTGGTACCAGCCAGTCCTGCCACTTCCTTGTCCAGGTTCTCACTCACAAACAGAACCACATTGCCCCTTACTGCTTTGTAGGAAAGTATTTCTCAAACCTCCAGCCAGAAGGAGTGGGATACACAAGCCTTCTTCATCTCCAATTTCATGTCCTTCCCCTATTTTAAAAGCCTTCCCTAGAAAAATTAGCAAAGGCAGGGAATGGGAGATGAGAAGACAACAATGAAAATATTCCAGATTGCCTCAAGCTTTCTCCTCTCCTCATTCCAGAAAGGCAGGCTGCCTTGGGGACAAGGAGTAGTGAGCAAGAGAGAGACAGCTGGCATTAGAGAATGCCCCAAAGGTCCTCTTGTCTAGAGAGTCTCAAAGCTGGCTGCATATCAGAATCTCCAGGAAAACTGATTTGAAAAGTGGATTCTCTGGCCCCACTATCTCCTGGGGGTTCTGATGACTCTACTGCAAACAGAATCCAGGCACCCCATGATTCCCCACAACACCCCACGTGATCTGACCCCAATTCTCCAACACATTCCCCTTCTGTCAACCACAACTGTTTCTTCTATCAGGGACACTCTCCCTGGATCTTCCCAAGGCTGGCTTTTTGATGTCATCCTGGTCTCAGCTTAAAGGTCAGGGGCAGTGGTTCACACCTATAATTCCAGCACTTTGGGAAGCTGAGGTAGGTGAATTGCTTGAGGCCAGAAGTTCAAGACCCAGCCTGGGCAACATGGCAAAATGCCATCTCTACTAAAAAAAAAAAAAAAAAATAGCCAGGCCCGATGATGAATGCCTGTAGTCCCAGCTACTCAGGAGGCTGAGGCAGGAGGATCACCTGAGCCCAGGAAGTCAAGGCTACAGTCAGCTCTGATCATGCCACTGAACTCCAGCCTGGGCAACAGAAATGAAATGCTGTATTAGTCCATTTTCACACTGCTGATAAAGAGATACCCAAGACTAGGAAGAAAAAAGGCTTAATTGGACTTACAGTTCCGCATGGCTGGTGAGGCCTCAGAATCATGGCAGGAGGCAAAAGGCACTTCTTACATGGCAGCGGCAAGAGAAAAATGAGGAGGAAGCAAAAGTGGAAACCACTGATAAACCCATCAGATCTCATGAGACCTATTCACTATCATGAGAATAGCACAGGAAAGATCAGCCTCCAGGATTCAATTACCTCCCCCTGGGTGCTTCCCACAACAATGTGGGAATTCTGGGAGATACAATTCAAGTTGAGATTTGAATGGGGACACAGCCAAACCATATCATTCCACCCTGACCCCTCCAAATCTCATGTCCTCACATTTCAAAACCAATCATGCTTTCCCAACAATCCCCCAAAGTCTTAACTCATTTCAGCATTAACCTAAAAGTCCATAGTCCAAAATCTCATTTGAGACAAGGCAAGTCCCTTCCGCCCATGAGCCTGTAAAATCGAAAGCAAGCTAGTTAATTCCTAGATACAATGGGAGTACAGGCATTGGGTAAATACAGCCATTCCAAATGGGAGACATTGGCCAAAACAAAGGGGTTACAGGGCCCATGCAGGTCCAAAATCCAGAAGGACAGTCAAATTTTAAAGCTCCAAAATGATTTCCTTTGACTCCATGTCTCACCTCCAGGCTATGCTGATGGAAGAGGTGGGTTCCCATGGTCTTGGGCAGCACCACCCCTGTGGCTTTGCAGGATACAGCCCTCCTCCTGGCTGCTTTCATGGGCTGGCATTGAGCATCTATGGCTTTTCCAGGCTCATGGTGCAAGCTGTCAGTGGATCTACCATTCTGGGGTCTGGAAGATGGTGGCCCTCTTCTCACAGCTCCACTAGGCAGTGCCCCAGAAGGGATTCTGTGTGGTGGCTCCCACCCCATATTTCCCTTCCACACTGCCCTAGCACAGGTTCTCCATGAGGGCCCTGTCCCTGCAGCAAACTTTTGCCTGGGCATCCAGGTGTTTCCATACATCTTCTGAAATCTAGGCAGAGGTTCCAAAACCTCAATTATTGACTTCTGTGCATCCACAGGTTCAACACCTCATGGAAGCTGCCAAGGCTTGGGGCCTCCACCCTCTGAAGCCACAGCCTGAGCTGTACATTGGCTCCTTTCAGCCATGGCTGGAGTGGCTGGGACACAGGGCACCAAGTCCCTAGACTGCACATCGCACAGGGACCCTGGGCCCAGCCCACAAAACCACTTTTTCCTCCTGGGCCTCCTGGCCTGTGATGGGAGGGGCTGCTGTGAAGGTCTCTGACATGGCCTGGAGACATTTTCTTCATGGTCTTTGGGATTAACATTAGGCTCCTTCCTACCTTTGCACATTTCTGCAGCTGGCTTGAATTTCTCCCCAGGAAATGGGTTTTTCTTTTCGACTGCATCATCAGGCTGCAAATTTTCTGAACTTTTATCCTCCATTTCCCTTTTAAAACAGAATGCTTTTAACAGCACCCAAGTCACATTTTGAATGCTTTGCTGCTTAGAAATTTCTTCCACCAGATACCCTAAATCATCTCTCTCAAGTTCAAAGTTTCACAAATCTCTAGGGCAGGGTCAAAATGCCACCAGTCTCTTTGTTAAAGCATAGAAAGAGTCACCTTTGCTCCAGTTCCCAACAAGTTCCTCATCTCCATCTGAGACCACCTCAGCCTGGACCTTATTGTTCATACCACTACCAGCATTTTTGTCAAAGCCATTCAACAAGTCTCTGGGAGGTTCCAAATTTTCCCACATTTTCCTGTCTTCTTCTGAGCCCTCCAAACTGTTCCAATCTCTGCCTGTTACCCAGTTCCAAAGTCACTTCCACATTTTTGGGTATCTTTTCAGCAGCACTCCATTCTATCATTCTACTGGTACCAATTTACCGTATCAGTCCATTTTCACACTGCTGATAAAGACATACCCGAGACTGGGAAGAAAAAGAGGTTTAATTGGACTTACAGTTCCACGTGGCTGGGGAGGCCTCAGAACCATGGCAGGAAGCAAAAGCCACTTCTTACATGGTGGCAGCAAGAGAAAAATGAGAAAGAAGCAAAAGCGGAAACCCCTGATAAGCCCATCAGATCTCATGAGACTTATTCACTATCACAAGAATAGCAAGGGAAAGACCAGTCCCCATGATTCAATTACATCCCCCTAGACCCCTCCCACAACATGTGGGAATTCTGGGAGATATGATTCAAGTTGAGATTTGAATGGGGACACAGCCAAACCATATCAAACCCTATCTCAAGCAAAAAGAAAGTCACCTCCTGGGACCTAAATCTAAATGAGGTCCCCCGGTCCCTGTCACCTCCATCCTATTATCTGTGTTGGGCCCTCATCACAATACAAAGTGATCTTATTTGTATCTTGTCCATTTTCTGTCTCCCCAGCTAGAACATAAGTCATGTGCGAACCAGGGTCTCAACTGCCTCAACAGCATGGTGGCCTCGCTGCCTAGCCCACTGCCTGACACGTAGCAGGTGCTCAGTAGACATCAGCTGTATCCATGAACGAATGAATCTGGGTTTTTTAGCAAGAGCCTCGGTGATTCTGATGCGTCCAGTCTGAGGGCAATTGGGAACTGGTGGTCTGGTCCAATCTCCCTTAGAAATGCCCTCTGTACTCCATCAACCATTTCTTGCATATCCCAGTGATGGGGAGGCTCATCCCCTTTTCAACAGCCCTAACCATTGGCAAGATTGACCTTCTGTAGTTGTTAAATCTGCCTCCCCAGAGCTTCCATCCAAAGGCCCTTTTTCAACCTTCCAGGCCTGTCCAAACAGACCTAATTCCTCCATCAAATAGCAGCCCCTCAGAGACTCAAAAGCCTTCAAGTCTTCAGACAGTGCCTCCCCAAGCCCTTCAACAATTCCCATTTGTAAGTTTCACCACTACCCAGGAAGGACCAGGACTTAATGGAAGGAAGCCTGCTCCAGATTGGACACCTCTCATTTATTATTCTTTGACAACTGGCTTCATTTCCAAAATGTTCCTCCATGAGCTTGGATTTCTTCTGTATTCAGGCAGAAAAGTATTTAAGAAGCAACCCTATTCAAAGCAAGGGCTGCTTATGGGAGAGCTTCCACCTCCCATAGCACACCACTCCCCAAAAATAAAACGAGTGTTTTCATGGTCCAGAAAGATATTAAGTAGGCTGGGTGTGGTGGTTTATGCCCAAAATCCCAGCACTTTGGGAAGCCTAGGCAGGAGGATTACTTGAGCCCACGAGTTTGAGACCAGCCTGAGCAACACAGTGAGACCCCATCTCTACAAATAACTTTTTATAGTATCCAGGTGTGGTAGTGCACACTTGTGATCCCAACTATTCAAGACGCTGAGACAGAAGGATCACTAAAGTCCAGAGGGTGGCAACTGCAGTGAGCTGTGATCCAGCCACTGTACTCCAGCCTGGTTGACAGAGTGAGACCCTGTCTCCAGAAAACAAAGAATAAAAAATGAAAGATATTAAGTAATGAGGAGTTAAAGAGTGGAGATGAAGGGACTTTTCTTCAGGATGCTTATGGTCTGTTTGCAAAGAAGAAAGCAAATTCACATCCATTTTCACTAGGTCCAACTGGAGGATCACAGGCCCTGTGGGACCATCTTTAAGATAAACGGCAGACCAGCCCAAGCAACCAAGCACATGGCTCTGCAAAAGACAGAGTGAGATTCTGTCACTTTCCATTCAAGGTTTTTCAGCTACAAACCTTAGCTGTGTTATTGGGAGAAGTATATGGATCAAAAGAGGACTGAGGCTAAGTTTGGAAATCTTTTTCTATTGGCCAGGCGTGGTGGCTCATGCCTGTAATCCCAGCACTTTGGGAAGCCAAGGTGGGCGAATTGCTACGAACCCAAGAGTTCAAGATCAGCCTGAGCTACATGGTAAAATCTTGTCTCTACAAAAAATACAAAAAATTAACTGGGTGTGGTGGTGCACACTTGTGGTCCTAGCTACTTAGGAGGCTGATGTGGGAGGATCACTTGAGCCCTGGAGGTTAAGGCTGCAGTGAAGACAGAAAGAAAGAAAGAAAGAAAGAAAGAAAGAAAGAAAGAAAGAAAGAAAGAAAGAAAGAAAGAAAGAAAGAAAGAAAGAAAGAAAGAAAGAAAGAAAGAAAGAAAGAAAGAGAGAGAGAGAGAGAGAGAAAGAAAGAAAGAGAGAGAGAAAGAGAGAAAGAGAAAGAAAGGAAAGAAAGAAAGAGAAAGAAAGAAAGAAAGAAAGAAAGAAAGAAAGAAAGAAAGAAAGAAAGAAAGGAAAGAAGAAAGAGAAAGAAAGGAAGAAAGAGAAAGAAAGAGAGAAAGAGAGAGAGAAGGAAGGAAGGAAGGAAGGAAGGAAGGAAGGAAGGAAGGAAGGAAGGAAGGAGGGAAGGAAATCTCTTTCTGACCATTTGGGAATTGTTCCTGCAGGCAGGGCTGGGACCTCAGTCCCAGAAACCCTGAAGGTGCATTTCCTCTGTGGGAAAGCCTTGGGGTGGGTCCGGTTTGGAGATTACACAGAGGCCATGAGTCCCTGAGTGTCATCCAAGGAGACTCCCAGCTACTCGCATGGTTGCCACCCTGGGATGCTGAAGAAAGGGCTCCAGAAAACCTGTCTCCACCCCCAGGTGATTTTCTGGTGCTTTCTACCAAGCCTCCAAGAGGTGAGCCCCAGCTTTGCCCAGAGAAGCACTGGAATGGTGATGTCATGCAGTAGAGAGAGTCAATGGACAGGAGTTGCGGCCAGAGGAATAGCTCCCAACCCACCAGGAATGTCTACTGGCCAAGCCCAGTGGGAAGCCAGTGAAAGGAGAGTCCATGGATGCTATCCAAATGGGTCAGCCTCCCAGGCCAGGCAGAGAAATGTCAGGGAGTGGATGTAGGGAAGCAAAAAGAAGACCCCTAGCACGCCACTCCAGCCCTGTCCCTAGCAGAGTGCCTAGCACATAGTTGGAGCTCAATAAATATTTGTTGAGTGAATGAACGACAGCCTGGTCTAGTTACCTCAAAGTTTTCTACTTTTGGATTTGTCACATTGTTCTCTTCTCACAAGAATGCCCTCCACTTCCTGTCTAATCATACCCCATCCTTCATTACATAGCTCAGAACCAACTCTGAGCCAGGAACCCTGCTGGCCCCTTCCCTGTCACTACACCTCAGATCCATCCCTAACCCTGTTGATTCCCTCTCTTTCACACCTCTCACCTACCTGTGGCCCTGTCTTAGTTCAGGCCAAAGCCTGAGAAAAAGAAGCCAGACATGAAAGAATACATACAGAATGATTCCATTTCTATAAAAGTTTAGAAAATGCAAACTAATCCACAGTGACAGGAGACAGATCCGTGGTTGCCCAGAGGTGGAGGCAGGGAGGAGAAGGAAGAAGGGATTATAAAGGGACAGGAGGTGACTTTGGGGAGGTGTCAGGTGTGTACCTTGATAGTTTCTCAGGCATGTACATGTCAACGCTCATCAAATTGTACACTTTAAATATATGCAGTTTATTCTACATCAACTGTTCCTCAGTCAAGCTGGACCCCCCGCAAAGAAACCCTAAATCCCCACAAAAACTTCACAGGTCTCCCCATCTCCCAGAAATGCCGAGGTCACTGGTTGCTGGACCCTTGCATCAACTCATCCCCTGGTTATTTATTTAGCATCGGCTATAAGCCAGACACTGGGCTGGATGTTGGTAGGAGGGGTGGGTAGAGGCCAGCCCCAGCCCTCCGTGAGCTCAGTGCCCTGCTGGGAAATAGACAGCTGAGTTATGGGGGTATGGAAGGTTTCCTACAGGGGATTTGTCTCAGAGGAGACCCAAAAGGCAAGATAGGTGGGTGGAAGTGGGAGGAAGAATAGTTAAGATCAAAGGAACAACAGGCTCAGAAGGGAGTGAACACACTGGAGAATGCAGTCAAATGATAGAAAACTGGGGGAGAAAAGATGCAAGAGATGATATAAAGGAAGGGGACAGGGGCTTGGAAACCAAGTATGGGGTTGGGATTTTATCTTGACAGCAACAAGGGAGCAGGTTATAAGCACACAAGTGACCTAGTCAGTTTTATTCTGTGACAAAATCACTTTGGCTGGGGCAGGAAGAATGGATTGGAAGAGAAAGGGTGAGAACCAAACGTCATGGCAAGAGATGGCTTTGATCTGAACTGAGGCATGACCATGGGTAGGTGAGAGACATGAAGGAGAGGGAATCAACAGGATTTGGGATGGATCCGAGGTGCGATGAGAGAGAAGGAGCCAGCAGGGTTTCTGGCCCAGGCAGCTGAGCTCATGACAGTGGCCACAGAGGCAGCAGGTGTAGGGAGGGGAAAGTGATGATTCAGCATTGATAACACCAAGTTTCAGGGGTATGTGGGCCCTCCTGGAATCAGTTCAGTGAAGTTGGGTAGATAGAGCTGACATTCAGGAGCCAGGTCGTGGGTGGTGTCTCCTTAAGCCATGAGATCTTGGAGACAAGAATCTCTAACATCTTTGCATCCACAGCAAGCTGCACTAAAGGCCTGGCATGTATTTTTCTCCTAATAGATGTTTGTTGGTTGACCCATGACTGAGTTCTCTCTCCAGATCTGTACACATAAGCCCTGCTTCAGGGACATCTATTTATTTATTTATGGGTGAGGTTTCCACGTCTCTTTGCTCCAAGCCCCAGGTAAGGAGAGAGACAGAGAACAACCCTCAATACCCATGGGCCGGCTCCACCAAACCCTCCCTTTGGTTCCTATCTTGGCTCCGCATTCCTGGAAAGGACCTGGTCTCTGAGTGGCTCCTCTTCATGATCAGTTTGCCCTCAGAAGGAAACAGAACTCTATGTCTGCCAAATATCAGTCATTACACTTCAGATGGCGCTAATATAGTTCCCCAGGAAGCTCTGGCCAATGTAATTTGGGCTGGGGACATGCAACTCCTAATTCACAGATTGAAGGGTGGAACAGAGAGGTTTAGGAACTTTCCCAAAGCCTCACAGTAAGCCCCAAGGCAGAACCAGGCCTCCGAGTGCTGACTGTGGCTTGTCCCCGACACTAGCTGATGTTCTTTCTACCTACTCTCTCCAAATTTGCCTCAATCTTGGCTTTGCTAATGACTGGCTGCGAAATCCTGGAAGAGTTGCTCAACCTCTCTGCACCTCAGTTTCCTCATCTGTGAAATGGATGGAATAACAGTGCCTACGCTGATGACACATGGGAAGCGCTTTGCACAGTGCCCGGCACATGCAATCTCCAGACAAGTTGTCACTGCTGCTTACCTTCCCAAGAGCGCCCAAGAAGTGATGCTAATGGTGGAGTTGCCTTGCACTGAAACAGATCAGAAGGGGGACATCTTTTAGACCAGAAGGACTTGTAATGCCTCTCAAACTTTACAATCATCTTGTCCCCGACCGCCTGGCCACCTCTGCGCACACCGTGCCTGCAGACTCCACAGGGCACTTGGCCAGGCTGAGAGCTATGTGCAAAATAGCTGGATCAGCTCTCACCAGAGAGGGACCCAATGGCAACTTTTGAGGTTCTGAGGTCTGGTTTCCTCAGGACCTCAAAAATGCCAAAGCCTCCTAGAAAGAGGGAGAAAGGCAAAGAGGTTCTGAGAGGTTTTCACATTTGCCCACCAGGAGAGAGAGGTCTTGGAAAAGCCCATGCAGCAGCTGGCCCTGGAACTCTGACCAGCCAGGGATCCCCACTGGCTCAGGGGAGAGAGGGCGGGGCCTGGCTGGGAGTGACACACCCCCTTCCCAGTGGGACGTTCAGTGGGGCTGGGCAGGGGAACCTGGGCTTGTTACCAGCCACAGGATGTGAGGCAGGTTGTCTTCACCTCTGCACTATTGACATTTTGAGCTGAATAATTCTGGGGCTGCAGGAGAAGCAGGGCACCCTTCTGTATATTGTAGGGTGTTGAGCAGCATCCCTGGCCTCTATCTACAGTAGCATCACCACTCAATTGTGTCAACCAAACATGTCTCTAGGCATTGCCAAATGTTCCTTGGGAAACAAAATTCCCTTTCCTACTCTCCCAGGGAGAACCACTGATGTGAAGGCAGCTTCCCAAAAGAGGAGGGGACAGGAAGAGGGAAAGAGACACACAGGTTAACAGTGGTGGGTAGAAGGTGAAAGAGAAGAGGGAGGGAAGGCAGAAGTACCTGCTGGCTTTAGGGGGAGAAAAGGACTTTTTTTAACCCTGAGTAGATCACATTAGTGTCTCTGGAGATCTGATCCAGGAAGTTCTCATATCCTCCTCCTTCACACGGAGGCACGCCCCTTCCTATTTTTCTTAATAAGAGCACAATTTCATTCTGTAAATATGTATTGATTGCTTTTTGTAGACAAGGCACTTTCATGCATCCATTCCAAACAACTATTCAGCAAGTCTGTAATGTTATTGTTATTACTTAATATTTCATCACTAATAATTTATTGAAGCCATCATAAGTTGGGCATTTGCCTTGTGCCACGCACCGTGCTAAGCCCCTTACATTCGTCTTCTCATTTAATCCTCCCAACAACTCCATGAGGTTATTAGTTTCTTTTATCATTATTATTTTTCCTGGTTTACAAATGAGGAAAATGAGCCTCAGAGTGAATAACTGAACCAAAGGCATCCAGCTTCATACACTTTTTGGTGAATAAATGAATAAATAGCCCTTCTTTCTCTGATATCCAGAGTAACGTGTAGATGTACAGAAATTTGTGTTGATGTATAGGTCTCCTCTGCTAGGCTATGAGCAGCTTGTAGGGGCGGTGGGAGGTGCTCATTCACAGTGGCTTCTGCAGCCTCTGGTACATTCCCAGGCACACACAGTAGGTGTCCAATACATGTTTACCAAATGAACAAATGAAGGAGAGTGCTTTGCGTGTTTCTAATTTACCTTTATAAACACCATCCCCCGGTCCCAGCACAGGCTCTTTCTCATAGTAGGGCTCAGTATTATTGAGTTTTGTTCAGTATTATTGAGTTTTGTTCAAGGGGTAAAGGGTAGGAGACGTGGAATGGACACACATCTTTGCAGAATGCTTCTGTTATGTACAGGAAAGCTCCCCTGCAGGGTGACAGTGGCTCAAATAAAACCTATGGGAATGAGCTCTGTGTGAAGGCAGGCCAGCCCCAGCCCTCAGACTGGATATTGAAAGGTCCTTTCATAACTCCAAGCACATAGCTCTCTACACCTCTCTCCAAGAAGACAACCCTCACCTTCTTTCTCTAACTATTTCAAGGTCCAACCAAATGAATTCACTTGCTTTCACCTGAAAAAAAAAAAAACACCCTTCTTTTTGTAAAGAATAAAGAAAGTCGCCCCCAAACAAGGACCAGTAACACCAGCTACTGCTCAGGGTGCTTCCCAGTTTCCCAAACATCATTTCCCTAAATGATCCCGATAACTCTCTAAGGCAGGCACCATTACTGCCCCATTTAACGGATTAGGAGACTGAGATTCAGGGAGGCTGGGCATTCCCACCTGCCATTCATGAGCGGGTTAGCATGGGAGCTACTAGGACTCTGAGCCAGCTCCTCTAACTTCAGAGCCCTCTTCTACCTCCACAGGTAATAGAAGAGCTCTTGAAGGAGATGAGCTCTTAAACAGTAAGTCCCATCTTTTCCCCTTTGCATCACAGCCTCTTTGCTCCATTGCCTTCCCCCATCTCTTACTACTCTGCTTCCTTTTTTCTCCTATGCAAGGCTCTAACACAAATAAAACAGACCAAAACAATCCCTCATGGCTACTCTCTGAGACAGACATACACCTTTTTTATGTGACAGCTGCCATAGAAACAAGTACACACTTTTATCCCCATCCCTCAAATGTGGAAACTGAGGCACAAAGAAGCTAAGTGACTTGCCGTCTATTGCACAGCTGGTAAGTGATGAAGCCAGATTCCAACACAGGAGCACTGGGTCCCAGAGTCTGGATGTTAACACTATACTCCATCAGCTCCCCCACAGATGGGACTGGTAACCTTTCCAAAAATTGTGTAATTTAGATGTCTTCTTGATTCATTGTGTTTTCCACTATCACTCTTTTTTGTTTTTTTGTAACCAAGCGGAGATTTCAGATCCAGCAAGAACAATAAAAATCACTCTCTGAGGCCACAGACCTGTTTCTCCACCCCAATGTGATTCTGTGTCTAGTCTGAAGAATCCACCCAATGACTGCATTCTCTTGGGGTCCTTGGATAAGCTTTTCTTTCGTCCTCTTTCCAAACTGGAAACCTACCCAGCCAGCTGCTCCATTTGCAGACCTCAGAAGATGGGCAAATAAAGCTCAGTCTTGTCTCAGCTCTGCCCATCCATCTCCATTCACTTCTGTAACTCTGTCTATGTATTCATTCATTATTCATTCAGTCAACAAATATGTATTGAACAACTATGTTCCAGGTACTGAGCTAGGCATTGGGGATTCAACAGTGAGCAAGACAAACACAGTCTGTCTGCCCTCTTGGAACTGATATTTTATTAAGAAATACACAATATGCTCCTAAACATATAAATAGAATAATTCTAGATATTGATAAAAGCTACAAAGAAAATAGACAGGGAGGAGGGCTAGAGAGTGACTGGGGATGGGGTGCTTTTAGACAAGGTGGTCAGGAGAGGTTTCTTTGAAAAGCTGACATTTGAGCTGAGATCTAAATGACAAAAGGGAACCAACAGTGTAAGAATCTGAGGGCAGAGGGGAAGCCTAGTGCAAAGGTCTTGAGGTGAGAAAAACTAGGTCTGTGTGAGCCACAGCAGGGGTGGGGGCGAGGCTAGCAAAAACCAATCACAAAGAGCCCTGCAGACCAGGGTGAGGAGTATGGATTTTATTCTAAGTGCAATGGGGAGTTGTTGGAGGGTTAAAAGCAGAATGACAAGACCTGATTTATGATTTTAAAATATAAGTTTAGTTATAGTGTGGAGACTAGATTGTAGATGAGGGCAAGGATAGAAGAATCAGGGAGCCCGGTCAGGAGGCTACTGCTATAAAACAGATGAGATGGTGGTGGCTTCGACCGGGGTGATAATGGAGGAAAAGATGAGAATTAGATGGGTTGGAATGTATTTTGGAGGCAGAGCTAACTGAACTTGCTGATGGATTGTGTGTGAGGCAGGAGAGAAAGGGGAAATCAAGGATGACTCCTAAGTGTGGGTCCAAGAGATTTTCATATTAAGCTGGTCCCATTCTGCGAAATGCCCACCCAACCCACATGAAATGAGAGCCTCTGTCCTCACCATTTTCACTCCTTCCTTTCAAATTTAGGACTTAAGGCAAATTGAAGTCTAGACCACAGGCCATGATGGCCAGGGAATTCAATGGGACTGTGCTAAATACATATATATATATATATATATATATATATATATATATATATATATACCATTGTAACCACAATGTAACCATCTATGTGGCTCTAATATCATGGGTTATTAGAGTAAGCACAGTCTCCAAAGCCAATGAGATCTGGGTTAGAATCACAGGCCTTCACAGCATACCTATAAGCAACTTAATAAATATTTCTGGGCCTCAGTTTCCTCACCCATAAAATAGGGCCATGATATATATCTACTAATGTTTAGATTTGCAATGAAGATTAAGGAACCAGATGTACAGAGTGATCACTAAATAAATGGATTTTTAACAAAATTTATCCTTCACCCACCCAAGGTCAGGACGTCTCTCCTAGTACCATGTGGCTCTGCATTCTGAGAGGGATAGAGGTGCATGGTCCAAAGGAGTGACCACATTGGTCCTAATCAAAGATCTAAGGGTGCTTAAGTGAAAAGATAACAGTCAGGGTCTAGAGAAACTGGAGTGTCACTCCCCTAACCCAAAGATACAACCCTTTATTGCAAATCCTTTGGGTTTGAGAATTCTGGTTCCTCTGCCTTTGTGGGCAAATTAGCTCTTCAATGTTCAGGTAGGGAGCCGGAGTTATTGTATTCCATTGAACTCACAAGGACCCCTCCCCCTTCATATGTACTGGCAATACTAACAACTGGGCATAGCTGACACTCCTGCAGTGGGGAGGCCTGGAGGGTGCTGAGAAGACCAAATGAAGATGTGGCCCTAAGGCATCTAGGCTCTCTGGGAGGCAGTGTATCTATGAGATGCCAGAGGAAACATACACAGCTCTCTGTGCACTAAAATGGGTGCTCCCCCACGAGGGAGGGAAAATGTGATTTTTTTTCCTACCCTGCACAAACTTATTTAGGAAAGTACTGCATACTAATTTGAACAGAGGAACACACTTGGTTATGCACCATGCCAGATGCCTAGGTAACACCATGAACATTTAGAAAATTAAGCACCAGATTAACTTTTGTATCCAAACTTTCCAAAGGAATCACTTTCCTCTTACTACTGATCCTGAAGATTGACATCCTTACAGATCCCATCTCTGTCTCAAAGGGTTAAGGCAACTTCATGTCCATCACTTTGGCCTTCACAAGCCATCTTTCTTCACGTAGGCAGGTGCCTTAGTCTGTTCACCACCAGTCCCCCCGCCCCCCGCTTCCAGCTCTTATGTTTTTCTACCCAAGAAGTTAAGATGCCAGGGATATGATATTCCCAAAACTAAAATTTCTAAACCCATTGCCTCTTTATCAGAATAAATCAGAGGGCAGATTCGTGACATTTGTTATAGGTTAGCTCTATTGTTTTTAACATGAATTTCCATTTATTTAGGAGTAGAAATATCCATTTCTCTCCGTTTTAGGGTACAGTTAAAATAAACCTTTCTAACATCATTTATTTGGGAAGAAAGGAGAAGACACCGTTTTCAATCAATCGTTTTGTTCTTTGATATATGTATATACACCTGTGTACAGGGCGCAGGTTCTAAGGTGAGTCCCCCAAAAGGGAAATAAATTCAGGGGAAGGCAAGAGTCACAGAGCGAAGGGGAGCTAGAAGGATGGGGAGTAAATGAGCAGAGGGCTGGTTACAGAAGCCCCCTTGCTCCGGCGACGGCGCCGCCGATTCAGCACCGCGGACAGCTCCTGTCTTTGTCTTGGTCCAAACTCCGGCGCCGGTGCACAGCCGGGCAGCCACCGTGGCTCACCCCTGCCTTCTCCGGCAAACCTGCTTAGAGGAGAAAGAAAGAGAGCAGAGCAGAACGATGGAGATTTTTCTATTCTCTCCCCGCATCCTCCGAACTCGGCTATGATCCCATCCCACCGCATCTCAGCTGCCGATTTTAACCCGGCTTCACGGGGAACCTCGCTTCTGCCTACACGGTGTTTGGGGTGGGTGTTGGAGGGCAGGAGAGCGCCATGGCGAGTTCAGAATGGGTTTGGAATTCGTTTCACTGTCACTGCCCGAGGCCCCAGCCGGCCGCGATCTGTCCCCAAACAACGCCTCGCCTTCGACTAAAAAAACAAAGCAAAACAAAACAAAAAAGCGGCGATGTCGAACGTTTCGCGGGTGCGTATCCGGGGCTGTGGACACGCAAGGACCCCCAGACCAGCTAAGCCTCGCCCCAAGACCCGCAACTTCAAATCCAGGGAGCTAGAAAGATTAGAAAGCGTTTCTTCCGACGCAACCGCGTCCCGGGAAAAATAAAAAATAAAAAAGCTTGCGGAATTATGTTGCAATCAGAACCTATACTCCCCAACCCTGCGCACCGTTTCCGCGGCGTTTTTTCTCCGTTTCGCCAGAAAAAGCGTCTGGCTCCGAGTTCAACAAGCTGCACCCACAGAGGCTGCTCAAAATGTGTATTATTTTTTTTTCTGGTTCCTTTCGTAGGAGCCAGTATAAAAGGGATTCTTCTCACGTTCTACCTTGCCCGAAATCTGGCTTCTTCCAGAGGGTGAAAAATGCCGTGCACGAAGCTCACTCGCCAAATCCCACACACATATGTAAACAAACACCACACACGCACGCACACACACACAAACACACACACACCCTCTAGCCCAGACTCAATAAAGTTACTCGCTTCCACCAAGCTTTAGGGAAGTAGGCCAGCCTAGCTATGATTTTATTCTCACGGAATTTGTTCCCGAAGTGGGGCCCTAGGGTAGGGGTAGACCTGGGAAAGAAAGTTTAAGAATGAACCCTCTCCAACCCCCGCCCACGCACGGAAGGCTCTTCCTGTGGCTGTCTGTGAATACCATAGGAGGAAAGAAAGAGGCCTTTTCGCAGGTTCCCTAAAGCCTGGGGCCCCCACATGGGCATCGGGGTACAGGGAGCTCACCCCCAACCAACCACCCAGAAGACCCCGGCTTCTGCGGACCGATTTGTATTTGCCTCTAAAATAAGATACTTCACCCCTACCCTCAAAAACATCCCTTGGAATTTTTTCGAAGGGGAAGCACTCTGTCCTCCCCTTCCCCCTCCCCAAAAAACCTGGCGGAAAAGGCCGCCGCGCACTGCGGGGCAGTTGAGAGGAGTTTTAGAGAGCGCGATCCCGCAGTGGTCCCCGCGGAGCGGAAGGGTGCCCAGCAGGGTAAACATACTCGCCTTGGGAGGAAGGAGCTGGGGTCGCTTTCCCCGGACCCCTCCTCCCTCCCGGGGTCCGCGGCGGTGGGCGCCTGGGGGAAGAGTGGGGGCCTGGGGGGTGGGCACCGTCCCCGCCCCCCAGCCCCTTGGCTCGCGGTGTTCAGCCGGGCTGCTGCGTAAACCGCCGCTTTCCCGATGCAGATTTCCCTTTTAACACCTTCTAAACAAAGGCTAATGAGGCCACTGCATCACTCTATCAACACACAATCATTAGCAAGCGAGAAATACACGCGCAGGCACACACACACACACGCGCACACACACACGCAGGCACACACACACACACGCAGCGCTGGGGCTGCCAAAGTCGGGCCAATTCTAAAGTAACCCGTATTAGGCTAACAAAAAGGAGGTGGGATATGGAGGGGCGGGAGAGAGGCTGGGAGAGAATGGAGAGAGAGAAGGGGAGAGCGTGTTCTCTTGATACCGAAAAAAAGGCCAAGAGAAAAGAAAGAGGAAGCAGACCCAGACTGAAAGATGGCTCTGCTGGTTGGAGCGAGATCATTAGAAAGTCCGGGGTTCTATTTTGGAGGATGGGGTCCCTGCAAAGCTCTTCTTCTTGGGGCACAGGAGCTGGAGTGGGGCTGCAGCTGTCTTCTTAGAAATAGCTCCCAAGGCCTGGTTCATGGCCTCTACCATCAGATAGTCTCAGTGGGGCCAGAGGGGCAAGACTACAGCCTCTCACGACCAAGTACTGCCTGCCCTGAGACCCCAAAAGTCCAGGGCCAGCCTCCAGGCCCAACCATCTATGCGAGGATGAAGAGAAGCCTGACTGTGCTCAGTGCCCAGCTGGGACCCACTGCTCCTCCAGTGCAACTGGCAGCCTGGAATCCAAGCTTCACCCATGGGGAAGTGGGCCGCTCTGTGTTAAGTACAGGGCTTTCCTCTCAGAACAAAAAAAAAGTCAGTGTTTCCCTTACAGGTTGGAGGACTGGCTTGCTGCTTTCCTTCTGTCTCTCCCAGGCCCCCTTCTGGCCCCCAGGGATCAGCCCCAGACTTCACCCTCCCAGCAACTAAGTGTGTTTTGCCCGGGGAAGGAGCACCCAGCAGGAGAAAGTAGCCTGTTTTTGCTTGCCAGATAGCCCAAGGTGTGGGACCTCTAGGGGAGGGGTGCATTCCAGGAGAGGGGCTTGCAGTAAGGAAGGAGGGAAACCCACGCCCTGCTGCAGCTCCAGAGGGACCTCTGAGCTGACTGGCACTCACCAGCGCACACACTCACTCCAGAGAGACCTCTGAGCTGGCCGGCACTCACCAGCGCACACACTCACTTGGAGGCTGGATCTCAGCCACTGCCCTCTCCACCTGCTCCAACCACCAAGATCCAGGGCCTGTCCCCTGAGGGGTAGTAGGCCCAGTGGACTTCCACTAGCTAGGGCCCCTGATGCTACAGCCCCAGAAGTCTGACTCAGAGTTGGCCCACCCCTGCCGGGTCCCACAGGAAGCCCCCTTAAAGTTCCAGCCCGGATATTGGACTGGGGTTTAGTTTAGACTCAGAGCCCTGCTTTCCTGTGCTGGGGGGTGAATGCAGAGGAAGATTGGGCAGGGAGAAAACTTGGTGGGAGATGCCATTGTTTAATTCCCACTTCCTGCAGCTCTCCAAAGGAAGGAAGGAAGGAAGAAGGGAGGGAGGGAGGGAAGGAAGAAAGGGAGGGAGGGAGGGAGGGAGGGAAGGAAGGAAGGAAGAAAGGAAGGAAGGAAGGAAGAAGGGAGGGAGGGAGGGAAGGAAGAAAGGGAGGGAGGGAGGAAGGGAGGGAGGGAAGGAAGGAAGGATGTAAGGAAGGAAGGAAGGGAGGGAGGGAGGGAGGGAGGGAAGGAAGGAAGAAACGAAAAGGAAAAGAAAGGGAAGGGGGAGGGAGGGAGGGAAGGAGGAGAGAAGAGAGGGAGGAGGAATTCCCTGCCTTTTTGATTAAACGTCCCGGGTCGGGCCTGCCCAGTTAACGAGACCGTTAATTAAGCCGAGCACGATTCAACTGACAGGAAGGCCCTGCGCCCCGCAGAGATGTTCTGGAAACCAAGCAATCCACGGCCTAGCGCCAGTGGGGCACACCAGCCACGACGCCCCCGCCTCCCAGGGTTCCACCCAGGCCAGGACACTCTCCCCGCCTGGGCTCCGGGCCGCTCTCAGACGGCCACCCCCAAGGGTTCCCCAGAAAATTCACCACCACCCCCCACCCACCCCACTCCCACCCCCGCCATCCCTCTCGCATCCCTGCCCGGATGTCTAGGCCTGAGCACCCATTGCACCCCGCCGGCGTCCTCTCTGGCCCGCCTGGGAGCGCGCGGTCCCGAGGTTCTCGGGCAAACCCGAACTGCGGAGGGCAGAGGCTGGGCTCGCTGGGTCTCGCCGGAGCGCCACACCAGCCGCTCTCCTCCGGCCTCCAGACAGCGGGGCTCAGCCTTCACGCCCGCTCCTACTCGGGGGCCCGATTCCTTCCGGCGGCGGGCGGTGCTCTGCGGCGCTGCGGGACGCTGAGTGTGTGTGCGAGGCGCGGCCTATATTTACACCCCAAACAAAATAATTACACTTTTGTCGGAGGGAGAAAGCCAGTGATTAGGCGTAGGCTCTTTGCGGCAAAACAGTTTCTCAGTGGTACACCAGTATAATTTTTCACGGCTGGCTGAAATCAAAGAGGGGAGGTAATGAATCCGGCGAGCAATTTAAATTTACAATTTGTAACGCCGCCGCCGCCGCGCAGACCCGGCCGAGAGCGCAGCTCGGAGGCGCTCGCTGCGTTTGTTTAATGTTAAAGCCGCGCTGGCTCTTGGGGGTGGGGTGGGGGAAGTATGCGTGTTGGGGTGGGAGCGGTAATGATCGAAGTCGGGAGAGGACGGGCTGGGTCGCACAAGATGCCACCAAGAGAAGTGGGCAAAGCGCGCGCCTCTCCGGTCCCCCCAGCCACCTGGGCCCCCAGAGCGCGCGTTTCCCAATAAAGCTGCCACTCCCGGCCGTTCGAAGGAGAGGATGCTTTAAGAGGAGCCAGGAGAGACACTGGCTGCCAGAGAAGACCCCCTTTCCTGCTTGGCTGCAGAATCTCCCAGGCCGGAGGCTTTCCGGTGAGGAATAGGGAGGTGCAACTGAAACGACCTCTTCAACCCGCGGGTGGGTCAGCTCCAAACCTCTGGAAGCGCCCTCATTCCGGCCGCTGCCCGGTGTCCCGGGCTGGAGAACTCAAGAGAGGTATGCCCCACGCCCCAGCTCAGCGCTCCCCAAAACTCCCACCCCAGGCTAGTGTGCGCCTCCTCGCCAGTAATTAATTACCGAACTCAAGGGGGAATATGCAAACCGCATATTACTAACTCTACAGGGCTTAAGTGATTGGAAACAGATTATTATCTTGTTTGTCTTTTGTCTGTTTTACTTATCCCGCCGCCGTCTGTCGAGTTGTAATGTTGATACTCTTTACTCTAGGAGGAAGATTTTTATATAGTAAATTCCATCAACATCTTGTATAAGTGACATTGCGTCTCCATGCATTACCCTGTTAAGACACAAGCGGTTTATTAGTTACATATAGGAGGGGATTTCGCTGCCTGGTCGCCATCTGTTAGCGCTGTTAGGTCGGGATGAGTCTAATAGCTGGTCTGCTGGCATTTTCCGATGCTGTGCACCGGGGAAGGTGGTGGGCTAGAGAAGGCCGGGCGGGTTCTGGGCAGCTTGGCTGAGCCCAGGTCCAGGGAGTTCTCGAACTGGGGCTGAGCTGTACTGAGGATGAGGCCCCCAACGCAACTCTAGGGGACTGCAACAAGGGCAGGATTGGTGAGTTCCCCTACAAGAGATGGAAGATCAGACCAGGGCTTCTGGAAACAGAGTCCTCATCTCCTGCAACCAAACATCCAGCCCCAGGTGACTGACGCTCATCCCTACTCAGGGCTGCTCTCATCTTCTTCCCTCTTCCTACGACCTCCCTGGCCTGGCCACACGGTTGTTAGAGCCTGGCTATGCATTGAAGCTCTCTGGGAGATGAGGACTAGTGGATCTGAGATTCAGATAGAGCTGGGTACACAGGCCCCCAGCCACCACCAATGGGTGGGCAAAGCCTGGGCTGGAAACACACACCAGACAGGGCACTTTGCATATTTTGTGGGGTTTGGGGGAGAATGGGCTCAGTGTGCCTAGTCTGGAGCAGAGAAGAAAGTGGTTGGATGGAGGTTCTGAATGATCATGAAGCACGTGGTGGGGGTGCAAGTCTTCCCCCCACACCCCAAAATCTGCACGATGCAAAATAAGGAGCATTCATCTCAGCTTTGAGTCGGATGCTGGATTTGGAAGCTCCAGCAGAGAGGCCAGGGGAGGAGAACAAAAAAAAAGAGAGAGAGAGAAATGGAGAAAGAAAACAAGGGAGAACCAAGAGAAAATGAAACAGAAAGAGAACAGATTCTGAGCATAAGAGAAAAACGGAGACAGAAAGGAAAAGAGATATGGTGAGAACTCGGGAGAGACAGAAAAAGCCTAGTGAGACAAAGACGGAGAAGGCAGTACAGTTCACCTCTGCCGGGAGCCTGAGCACCTCTCTCCTCTTCGGGTTCTTATTTCTTTCCAGCTCTGCCCCTGCCAGAGCTCAAGGATCCTTTAAGCCCAGGCGGGCAGGGCCAAGTGCTGCCAGAAACTGCAGTTCCATTTGAAGTCTCTCATGGCCGAGCCTAGGAGGCCAAGTGAGATTCATCCTGCCTGTTCCTGGTTGAGCTGGGCTCTAACCAGCGTTACTACTATGCTCTGTAGATGCCTGTCCCCTGACAAGCTAGAGGGTCAGGTAACAGCACCAATAAGCAGAAGCTGCCCGGGTTAGGGATTCCTTTTCCAGCGGGCTGGCTGGTGAGTCAATGCTCCACTCTGTAACCAGCACTCACCAATTCCCTGTCCCTAGCAAGATCACCTCCCCTAGATACTGTGGGGGACAGTGCTAGGCCTGAGAGGAAGGGGGACAAGTGGGCATCCCTGAGCCCCAACACAGGCATCCACAAATCCTGCTCCCTCAACCTCCGAATCCACAAAGGTAAGCGCAGCTAGGAGTACACACACAAACACAAATACAAACATAACCCCCTCACACACACATACACACACACACACAAAAGCCTACAGGAGTTGCATAAACAAAAAACTACTGTTTGCACAAATACACACATTTGCAGGCACACACACACAGCGACTGGCACACAAACATAGCTCTTCAGAATTCTGCACTCACAAACACAACCAAGCCAGCTCAGTCTCATACACACAGGGTCTCAAGCATGCACGCCCTCACCTACACACAAACACACACATTCAGATTTTTCAAAGTACACCTTCACATCAATGCTTGCAAACACAGACACAAACACTCTTACGTGAATGCACACGTACACATGAAAACACCCTCACATTTATGCATCCTCAAATAAGCAAACACACATAGGCACAGACCAACAAAAATAAAAGTGCACACAGTGATAAACACAAACATTAGCAGGACCATACACAATTACAAACACACGAATCTGCACACACGAAAACGCACACGCAGAAATTTACTCACAGGATTGATGGTACTAACACAATAAACAGATGCAAAAATGGAATTCTCAAACAGCGAGTATACACTAACAAGCTCAGGAAACACACCCAAACAAACATTCACAGCCAAGTGCTGGCACAAACCCCTCCAGCTCCAGCCCTTGGTCCCAGGCCCTACTCCCTCAGCCCCCTTTCCAGAAGCGAAAGGCAAATCCTGGTTGCCCATTCCCGGCTTCCCCAACTAGGATCCCTGGTGGCCACGCTGGCCCCAGGGGAAAGGAGGCCTGGTCCCTTCTCCTACTCAGACCCACACACCCCCTCCTCACGCACACCTGCCAACATCCCCCCTCCCCCTTAACACACACACACTCTCTCTCCTCACACTCTGGGCGCCCTGCCGAGCACGGAACATACGTGCGCCGCTTCTCCTGCGCCCAATGAGGGGACGAACTTGCACACCCAGCCCGCACGGCGTGAATACAAACAGCGCTCTCATAGTCGCTGGTGTCCCCCGCCTCAGCCGTACGACCCACTCACCACAGTGCCCCATAGGCTGACCTGGAATCTGGAAGGTGCAGCGAGGAAAGGAGAGACGTGGTGAGTGCCACCTCCGAGCTGTCTGCGGGAAGACCCGTCCACCCTGAATCTCCCCCTGTCCACATCTCCCTCAGAGCCCCGTGAGCAGCGCACTCAGGCCTGAAACTCTGGAGTTCGGGACCAGGCCAAATGGCACCCCTCCTGCTCCCCCGCCTCCCCACCCTGGGCCTGGGCCTGGGCTCGGCGGCCGGGCGGGGAAAACTACCCAGGCCGCGCGGTCTCCACTAGCTCTCTCCATGAGAAAGGCCCGGCTGGGCCCCAGCCCCGTGTATGACAAAAAGAAGCCGGGGCCGGCTCCAGGAGCCGGGAGAACCGCGCTGACGCAGCTTCAGGGCGCAGAGGGGGCGCGGGGGTGGGGGAATCCAATCTGGGCTGGCTGGGCTGGAGAAGGGGAGCGAAGTGTGGGGCGTGGGGCAACTTCTGCAAGTTCCAGGGATGGCGAAGGGGGCAGGGGTACCTCCCGGACTAGGCCTTGGAACCCGTGACCCCCAAATATTTGTGAGGAGAAAGAGAGAGGAAGAGAGACGCAATTTTCGTTTCGCGCTGCCCCCGCCCCGTCAGCCCCAAACTGGAAGGTAAATACTTACTTAGCCTCCGAACCAGGTACAAGCTAATACTCAACAATACTGATGCCTTGTTTTTTTTGCTCTGTCCGGACAGCAACGCTGTAGCCAATTTAGATATGCTATAAATTTAAGAGGTTGCCATGGCCACGGTGCGCCCATTGGCCGCTGGGCCCCCTACGTGCAGCGCCACGTCACCAAATCTGAATAAGGATGCGCGAATTACGCGGCGACCAGACAAAGATGAGGATCCGGACCGCTTGAAAGTGGGGGAAAGTGCCGGCGCCTCCGCCACCGGGGAAAGCCGCTCCGCAGCGCCGAGGCCAGCAGCCACCCGAGATACCTGGGGAAGCCCGGAACAGGCGCCGGGGCGTGCGGCCCGTGGCATGAGGTTGTGAACGCCACCCGCCCCCCACCACCCCACTCCGGGCAGCCCAGCGCCAGGCCAGAGATTGCCCAAGGACTGGACCGGCTGAGTCTTGGTCCGGACCAGACTCGCCCTGCAGCTGCTGAGACAAGAGGCGAAGGGCAGCGGAGGGCCCGGCAGGCCCGAGGGCCAGGGGCCCAAAGGGAGGGCAAGGCGGCCGAAGCCGCCGGGGCGCGGGGCTATGATGGTGCACTGCGCCGGTTGCGAGCGGCCCATCCTCGACCGCTTTCTGCTGAACGTGCTGGACCGCGCGTGGCACATCAAATGTGTTCAGTGCTGCGAGTGCAAAACCAACCTCTCGGAGAAGTGCTTCTCGCGCGAGGGCAAGCTCTACTGCAAAAATGACTTTTTCAGGTAAGAGGCCGCGCCGCTCTGCTGCCTGCGCGCCCACCCTGCGCGCGCTCCACTGGGGCGCTGGGGAAGGGGATACCCCCATCCCCATCCCAGCCTCCCCGGATCACAAGCTTAGATGGGGAGCGGGCAGCACTTTGCTCTCCTCCTGTCCTTGGTCCAGGAAAGGTCCCGAGCCCAGGCGGAGGAAGAAGGACGCTGCTTCGCTGCCTCACGTTGGCTCGAGGCCGGCTCAGAGCGCTGGCGGGGCAGAGGGAGGAAGCCCTGACAAACTTGCTATCCACTCCTCTCCGCCCCTTCCAAGCAGCTGCAACCCCAAGACAGAAGCTTCAAGCCCCGTCCCGAGAGAGAGGAAGGATTTTTGCATGAGTTAGAGACGCCTGAAGGCTTCTCGCTCCAGGCAGAATGTGTGAGCCCATCGGCCGCAATCCCAAACAGAAACTTCTCAGCTCCAGAGGGGGCCCAGCGAGGAAGGTCTCCCCTGGTGATGGGAGGAGAGAACCTCCCCCACCCACCTCCCAACCCCTTAAACATTTCCTCCCATGTTGAAAAGTAGAAACGAAATCGAGGCTGAGAATCAGGACCTCTGGGGTCTAGACTGGGCTGTGGCACCTCCCCAGCCCCCCTACCCCTGTGGGCCCTGTGGCTGGCCAGGGCAGATCACCTCTCTGGGCCTCAGTTTCCCCAGCCTGGAAGCCACTGGAGTTTGGGGCAGCTGAGCCCTACCTGTTTCCTCTGGGCACCCAGAGCCGGCTTTGTGAACAGGAATTCCCCGCGCTGAGGAATGGGGGCGTGAATCACGCCACAGAGAAAGGCAGCCTGCCGGCCCCAGCGACTCCGCACTGAGAATTTGAATGGGAGAAAATGTCAGCCGCTCCTTTACACGTGTTAACTCCCTGGACCCGGAGGCCCGATGCCCCTAATGTAGCAGTGCTTGCAAAGTGCCTAATGATTTTTGATAAGGTGCATATGGCCAATTACGCTGCCGGATAAGGCCAAAAGTGACTTATGGCTTCTAATGCCCTCACTACATCAATGTCACCCAAATTCGCCCTGTTTAGAGACATGGGTGTGAGTAGATGTGGGGTCCCTAGAGTCCTGGGTCCTCCCCCACCCCACCCCCAACCTGAGCCTCACCCATCTCCTATTTCGGGGGAGGCTGGCTTTCTCCCTGAGCTCAAAGAAGAAAGAAAAGGAATGAGATCAGGAACGCGGGAAAGCGGGGATTTGAGAGATTCCTGTCCTGGCCTTGCAGGATCTATGATTGTCCTCTATTCACATTCCCCTGCTGCCTGCCAGGCCAGAGGTTTAGGGGGGCTGAAACTCATCCCTGCTCTCTAGGGTCCATCACTATGAGGCCCTGCTGTCCACAGCTCCTGATTAGCTCCAGCGGGTCCCAGAGCGGTGGATTGGAAAGCCTCTCCATTGGTACTGGAAATCAGTGGAAGGTTCCCTCCTTTCTGCTTCCTCCTTCCAGCCTAGGAGAAGGGCTCCCCACCTCATGGCTAGGCTCAGCCAGCCAGGCAGATTGGCCCTAGCTAGGCAGCAGCAGACTAGAAAGGATCCAGGAGGCAGAGCCACCAAGTGGCCCAAACCCTCCCCGCCTGGCTTCAAATCATTCATGGACTCTGAGTTTGCCTGGAGCAGCCCAGGCAGGCCTGGCAGGGGTTGGGTTTGGGGGAGGACATCTTGGGGTGCTCTGGGCTCTCTTCTTGGCTGAAGGCTGCACCCACTGCTCACCCCTTCCCAGCTCAGGAGAGTCTGAAAAGCCCCAGTGGAGGCATGGCAGTCCCAGTCCCAAAAGCAGCTCAGGACATTTGTCCCACTTCTCCCACTCTGGCCAGAGCGCTCAGGATTGGGGTTCCGTTTGACAGATATGGAAATGGGGACTTCACCGAAGCCAGGTCGGGTGGGAAGAGGTCAGGGGCTGGGGAGGGCTGGATGCAGTCCCACCCCATAGTGACAGGCACATTGTGTCCACAGGCGCTTTGGCACGAAATGCGCCGGCTGCGCGCAAGGCATCTCGCCCAGCGACCTGGTGCGCAAGGCCCGGAGCAAAGTCTTTCACCTCAACTGTTTCACCTGCATGGTGTGTAACAAGCAGCTGTCCACCGGCGAGGAGCTCTACGTCATCGACGAGAAC
The DNA here is from genome assembly GCF_000001405.40 of Homo sapiens. Lineage (NCBI taxonomy): Eukaryota > Metazoa > Chordata > Mammalia > Primates > Hominidae > Homo > Homo sapiens. The sequence goes on along the minus strand of NC_000012.12, from coordinate 113,469,185 downwards.
AAGTTCGTGTGCAAAGACGACTACCTGAGCTCATCCAGCCTCAAGGAGGGCAGCCTCAACTCAGGTAGGAAGCCTGGGCCCCTCACTAGCCTTAGGCCTTAGCACCCTCCCACCGTGCCCAGCCTGGCACTCCCTACTTGGCCCCCGGTGTGCTGTCTGTGCTGAGCTTGGAGCTCATCAGCCCCAGGCAGTTCTAGGGCAAGGCAAGGGGGTTAGAGGCTAGAGAAGAGAAGTGGCTTTGGAGCAGGTTTTACAGGGGATCTGAGACCTGCCAGCTCTGCCTCACCCTCCTCCAATTCAGGAGCCTTTTCCAAGTTGCCCTCCTCCCCTAATTTGGAAGCGCACAATTCCCCCTTATGTGTCACTTGAGCTCCAGGTAATTTCTTGATGCACTGGAAGGACATTAATTGAGGTCTGGAGAGAGGAGGGAAGAGAGAGGAAGATCCAAGCCCCAAGGGAATCTGTGCCCTCCTTGTCCCCTCTCCTTGAAAGTGGGAGTTCTCCAGAGGGTACGCGTCCCCCTACCCTTACCCAGGTACTAGCTGAGACGCGCGGAGAGGGCTTAAGAGCGCCCCTCCAAAGGCCCAGCCCCGCCTGGAGAGAGTGGGCGGGCACCGGGTCCCTGGGGGAGGGGCTGTCGCAGGTTTGGGAGGGAATCCAGCGGGGCTGGCCGTAGCCTGGGCAGGCCGTAGCTTGGGCCGGCGGGAACCCGCCACTGGACTGAAGAGGCGTCTGGCCGTCGCTGACGCCGCTGTCCCCTTCCCGATCCGTCCGCCCGCAGTGTCATCCTGTACGGACCGCAGTTTGTCCCCGGACCTCCAGGACGCACTGCAGGACGACCCCAAAGAGACGGACAACTCGACCTCGTCGGACAAGGAGACGGCCAACAACGAGAACGAGGAGCAGAACTCGGGCACCAAGCGGCGCGGCCCCCGCACCACCATCAAGGCCAAGCAGCTGGAGACGCTCAAGGCTGCCTTCGCCGCCACGCCCAAGCCCACGCGCCACATCCGCGAGCAGCTGGCGCAGGAGACCGGCCTCAACATGCGCGTCATCCAGGTGCGGCCCGGGGCGGGCACAGCTCCTTAGCCCCGCTGGCCTGGGAGCCGGGAGCCTCGGAGGAGTCTCCCGCCAAGCTTCCTTGGCTACGAGCGCGCCTGGTTCTGGTCTGGGAGCAGACCGTGCGCCCGAGTGGGGCACTTGCCCGAGGTCGGGGACTGTGAACCGAAAGATTCCATCTAGCCCTGCTGTCCTCCTGGTATTGCGATTTGGGGGCGGGTCACTTTACCTCTCTGAATTCCGCCCCCCGCCTTGCTTATGGAAGGTTGTAAGCCTCTCTGGGGTCCGGGATCCCTCTTTACCTCCACCTTTCGAGCAGAGAAACAGGCGATGCCCCCTCCCTCCCTGCGCCGAAGCGCGGGCAGACAAACGGCCAGAGGCTGGCTCCGGAGCCGAGGGGCCGAGGCGAGAGCCGTGCCGGGAGGGAGGCCTTTATAGAGCCGTCAGGCCGCGGGCGAGCCGGGGACCAGGAAGCCCAAGTCTTTATGAGTCGCCCCACGGGTCCGCGAAATCCTTCACCCTTGGCTGGTTCGCCGAAGCCTCTCTCCACCCCTCCCGGCCTAATCCGGCCCGGCCCCGCCTCGGGGGAGTCCTGGTGCGGAAGAGGCGCAAGGACCCAGCAGGGGCAGCCCAGTCAGGGAAGGGAGAAGAGGGGGGGAGAGGACACTCCTGATCCTGGGTTCACAGCCCCCTCCTCTGTCCCAGGTGTGGTTTCAGAACCGACGGTCCAAAGAACGCCGGATGAAACAGCTGAGCGCCCTAGGCGCCCGGAGGCACGCCTTCTTCCGGAGTCCGCGGCGCATGCGTCCGCTGGGCGGCCGCTTGGACGAGTCTGAGATGTTGGGGTCCACCCCGTACACCTACTACGGAGGTAAGGGGCGCCCCGGGATTCGCTGTTCCGCACCTGTCCTATTCCGGGAGCTGAGGGCGAAGGGTCCCGGCCAGCACGCTTTCCGCCGCTCCAGAACATCGCCCACTCGCTGGACACACGATCACAGACACATGTACACTCACCCACATGTCCTGGACACAAAATCAGATACATGGTCTCACCCATACAGTGATGCACACAGAAGCACACACGAGATACAGTGACACATTCACCCACGCAGGGCACAAGGTGCACTCACACTTGCGTTCAGAGACTCCAGGGACACACGTCTAGACACGATCGCACGATCACGTATAGGTAAATTCCACCCTCTCACACACAGGTACACTCACGGAGACACAACTCCACAGACGCGCACACTCCCACCAGTCACACTGAGGCCAGTACTGGCAAATCCACATGCATGCGGCCCCCACGGACAGACGCACAGCCTTCCTGCCGCCCTGTGCCTGGTGTACTTGGCATGAGGTGGATTCCGAGCGCTGGAGGGTAGTGTGAGGGGAGGGGATGGGGGTCTGGATTCATTCCAAGCCGCCTGCTCACTAGCATCGAAGGCAGCAACTCCTGTTCCATGTGGCGGGGTGTGTGCGCACAGCATCTGGCAGTGTTAGCCCAAATGCCGGCAGTTGCTCTGGGCAGGACTGTAGTCCACCCTCCAGCCCCGAGACCCCTGGGGTTCCTACAGACTGGGGGCACAAGTGTTGGGCCAACCCCAGATTTCCACCGTCTTTGGGGCTGCAGAGAGCGAGGAGCCCCAGTTTACAAAGGGCTTCAGATGGTGGTACCAGGCTTGGGCCTGGGGTGAGCTGTCCCCTTGCCACCTCAGCTTTTCCTCCTCTCACTTCCCTCACACTGGATTGGTGAGCCATCCCAACTCCCCCTATCCGATTTTTTCAGCTCCTTACCCTGAGCCGCATTGCTTGAGCTCACCAAGCTCACTGTCCTGTTCTTCCCAGGGCTGAGGGCTCAAGAAAGCACCTCTCCTCTTCTATTCTGAAGCTTCTGAATTTGGAGAGACCCCAGGACTGTCTATGTCTGAGAGGCATCTGCACTTCTGAGTTGTAACGCAGGTTAGGAAGAGGCAATTTCTCTTAGAAAGTGGGTTCAGTGGCAGTGTTAGCAAGGCAGGAGCTAGGCACCCAGGTAGACGCAGAAGGGAAGGGAAGATAACCCCATCACTAACCTCAGCACATCCGGAAGCCTGAGGGGGGATTAGACCTTGAGACCGGACCGGGGCCCCTAGAAATTGTGGGCAAAATGCCAGGCTGTGCTTTTCAGGGCAGAGACCCCAGGCAGTGGCAGGGCTCAGGCTGGAGCGCCCCAGCCGCCCAACCCTGGACAGCCCCCCAACCCTGGACAGACCCCCAACCCCGGACAGACCCCCAACCCTGGAGAGCCCGGATGGTGGGCGTGTCTTCCGGAGTCTCCACTCACCGACTCTCTCCACCTAAATTTGCCTCTTTCCCTACAAAATCTGGGCCCGGAGCAGCGAGGTAGTGGGGGCGGTACCGGCCCGGAATTTTTCCCCGCCTGGATAATTAACCAAGGTTTCCCCGAGGACCACTTCGCCCCCGCCCCGACCTATCCCACCGCCTCCTCTCCCTGCGCGCTGGATGAGGTGGGGAGCTGGATACTGGGGGCCCCTCGTTCCCCGTAATGGTGGGGAAGACTCCCCAGCCCCCAGCGAGGCAGCCCCGCCTAATCCGCGCTGGGAGATCCCGGCGGTGGCGACCGGCAGCGGGCGAGAAAGGGGCCGGGCGGCGGGGCCGGCGGCTCCCCGTGGGAGCGCGGACAAAGCCCCAGCTGCGGCTTTTGTGCCCTTTTCAGACGGCGTTTGTTCCAATTACCTCCGGCCCGGCCGCCATATGGGCGGAGGCGGCGCGCACGGCGCGGGGGCAGCGGCCTTCGCTGGTTTTCCGGCTCGCCGCGGGCCGCGGCCGTCTCCCATCCCTGTCCCTTTGGGGCTCCAAATTTGCCGCTCCCCATCTTCCCCTTCACTTTCGGGGAGAATTAAATTAATGGTTTTAAAAAGTAATTGGCAACCGTTTTAGCTGTTGCTTAAACTGCCTCCAAGCCACGCCTCCAGACACCCCCCATTTGGACAGATTTCAGGGTTTGGAGAGGGAAGAGGGTGGCAGGGGGCATCAGGAATTCGCCCCTTGACTGAGATCCCAGGACTCAGCAGGGGGAGTGGATTTGCAGAAGAGACTCAGGCTTCTGGACTCGCTGGTTTTCCCGCCGTACAAAGCGGGTGCCTGGTACAAGGTGGTCCTTTCGTGACGTCCCCCACGTCAGTCCTTCAGGGCCCCACCTGGTGGGGGAAGGCAGGATATCCCGAAGGTTCTGGAAAAGGGGCTATGTGGGGCGGTCAGAGAGTTGATACAGATTTGTTGAGGCAGAATGGGTTTGCAATCCGGAGTCCCTACACCTCCTGAATTTATGGGCAAAATTCTCATCCTTGCATTTTCCTTGAGAGAGAGCCCATAGCTATCACCAGCTTCTCAAAAGATCTCAATGTCCTCAGATGCTTCAGAACCTGGGGGTGCTGGCAAAACCAACCCGGGGCAAGGCTGGAGGACCGAGCTTCTACCCCAAGGAGCCCGCGGAGCTCTGGCCATGACCCAGAGAATCTTCGTGTCCTCCTCCCCCTCTCCCAAGTCGCTGGAGCTCAGTTTTCTCTTTCTCAGGCTAGGCTAGGCCGGTACAAATGGTCTCACCGGGATCGACGCGGCGGCCGTACTTGGCGAGGCGAAGGACTTGGACTGGGTTGGTAGGGCGCAGGGACCGAGTTTAGGGCGCCAAGGCCGCCCCGCCCGGCCCAACCCACCAGTCGCTCCTGCCGCGGCCCGGATCCAGTTTCCCCCGGCCAGGTCGCTTCCCGGTCTCAACCATTTCGCGCTCTGCTCTGTCCGCTGGTTTGTCCCTGCCCGGTTCCTCTCCCCGGGCCTGTCAGCCTCCGCTTCTCTGGAGGTTCCTGGGACTCATCTCTGATCCACCGTCTTGCGTTCTCTGGGCGCATCGACTTCTCTCCATCTTCGGGCTCACTCCTGACTCCCTCGCTGCCGCCCCCGGGGGTTTCCACGCGTGTCTCTAACCGCGGCCGTCTTTCCTCTCTCTGCGTCTCCTCGACTCCTCCGCGACCCTCCGATGTCTCGGGCTTTCGGGTCTCAGCCGCGGACTCCGCGTCTCTGGGTCTCTTTTCCGCCTTTCTCTCTGCCCCTCTGCCGATCTCTCCGTCTGTCTCTCGCTGTCCCGCATCTCTGTGTCTCTCACCGACCCTAAGACACTTAGGAATCATTGTCTGTCTCTGCGTCTCTGGCCGCCTCTGTCTCTCTCCATCTCTAGGTGTCAGGGAACCTGTGACTGAAGTCTCCGAGTTTTTGCCGCGTGTGTCCCCCACGGTCTCGGAGTCTCTCCCGTCTCTGTGTGTGGTCTCTGGCAGTCTGAGTCTCTTGCCCTTTCGAGATCTCTCATTGTCTCTCTCCCCAACCCTCCCCGTGAGCCTGCGACGTCCACCGTCTCAAGGGGCGCCGGCCTCCGCAGGTCTCTCTAACCTTGGGTCGGTGTCGCGCGCTCCCCTCTCTCGCCCGCCCGGGTCCCCTCCCCGGGTCCCGGGTCCCCCGCCTACTTCGCCTTCTCTCACCGCGCCCTGTCTCCTTCCCGCTCCCCCTCCGCAGACTACCAAGGCGACTACTACGCGCCGGGAAGCAACTACGACTTCTTCGCGCACGGCCCGCCTTCGCAGGCGCAGTCCCCGGCCGACTCCAGCTTCCTGGCGGCCTCTGGCCCCGGCTCGACGCCGCTGGGAGCGCTGGAACCGCCGCTCGCCGGCCCGCACGCCGCGGACAACCCCAGGTTCACCGACATGATCTCGCACCCGGACACACCGAGCCCCGAGCCAGGCCTGCCGGGCACGCTGCACCCCATGCCCGGCGAGGTATTCAGCGGCGGGCCCAGCCCGCCCTTCCCAATGAGCGGCACCAGCGGCTACAGCGGACCCCTGTCGCATCCCAACCCCGAGCTCAACGAAGCCGCCGTGTGGTAAGGCCGCCGGGCCGCCCCCCGCGCTCGGCCCCCGGGGGCCCCGCCCCGAAGCAGCCTCCTGAAACCAAAACGCCCGACGCAGACGCGGTGGGAGACGTGGGTGTCCCTCGGGGGTTCTCTCTCGGGTCCGCACTCAACTGGCAGCTGCTCCTCGGCTGGGCGCCGAGGGGGGGCCGACCCCCATCTCCACCCCGCGGGCTCTCCAGGAGCCTCAGCCCACCGCCAGTACTCTCCCAGCAACCGCGAGCAATTTCTTGGGACCAAAGTCAATACTCCGGAGGGTCAAGAGATTTCGAGCACGCTCTAGACTTTCCCCGGGCCCCCACCCACCCACCCAGCCACCGCCACCTCTTTGGACTGAGAGAGGGTGAGGCCAAGGGGCGGAGACGGTGTTTTTCCCTCTCTCTGCAATCCGAGTGGCATTTTGTAATCTTATTTCTCGCTGTGCTTTCCCCGTCTTTAAAAAAAAAGATGATAAGAAAAGGAGAGAGATTGAAAGAGAGGGAGAGGAAAGGGGGCAAGATGAGGAGGAGATGGAGAGACAGCGTCAGCCAGAGGGAGAAGACGGAGAGCGAGCGAGGAACTCGCGTGAACCGGGAGCCACCGAGAGGGAGACCGAGCCACCTGCACGCTGGCGCTCCCTGGTGGCCAATCTTGAGGCTCAAGGTCAGCTTCTCTAGGAATAGGGCTGTGGGTCAGGAAGTGGCCAGCCGGGTCCAGCTCCCGCTCTTCCTTACTTTGACGTTTATGTTGAGCCCGAGGGAGCAGGCCGGACTCGAACACGCACACATCCTGCTCTCCCCCTGGGTGGGGCGCCAGGATTGCTGGGCTCAGACCCACAGACCACCCTCCCTGCCCAGGGCCTGGAGGCTGGGCCGTCAGGATGTACAATATTATACTTTTTTGGAAGTTGAACGCTTCTAGTTTCCTTATTTTGTATAAAGAAGAAACAAATAAAGTATGTTTTTGTGTTTACTGTTTATTTATTGTACTCTAGTTATCCGGGGTTGGACATTTTTATATTTTTAAGAGGAGGTAGGGCAGAGTGACGGAGGGGAAGCAGAAAGAGGTTTACCTAAAAAAAACAAAAAACAAAAACAAAAAAAATCAACTTTTTTTAAAGAGAAAGATTAATAAAAAAAAATCTTTTTTCCCTCAGCGCTGTGTGGTTTTCTTTTTTTGTCCCTACCTTGATAACGACTCAGAGAGAATGAAACCATTCCTTTCCCTGGTTCTGGTCTCTGACATTAAACCCTTGATGGGTGCAAAAACCTCTGCTCACCCAAAGGGGGAGCTCTTCTAGTGACTCCCAGGTTCATGAAAGTGACTGTCCTCTTTCGACAGCTACTACGTGCCAGGCACCGTATCTCCCCATGCTTTATGTAATACCCTGCTCTAACACAGGCCTGCCCAGCATATAGTAGGTCTTCAGAATGTTTGATGAATGAATGAATGTGTGATTTGTTTGTTGCCAGCACATCAAAAGAATTAGAACTTCACTCCTAACTATTCCCCCATGTAATTTCTGGTGGCCCAAAAAAAGAGCAGGCTGGTAAGCTGATGCTGGTTATCTGCAAGGCTATGTTAGGACTGAAGTGCGCCTCCTCCCCAAAGTGAGGCTGTTGTGCTCTGCAAATCTTATGCAGTGCATGCTTGTCTTTAGGTAAAGGCATGAGGGAAAGAGTGTCCAGTGAGATTTAGGAGGCCTGAGGCCACTACCTAAAACAAGTCACTCTCCTTCTTTGACTCAGTTTCCCTACTTGCAAAAGCAGGGGTTGGAGAGAGTGCTTCCTACATTCCCTTCCAACTCGAATGTCTGTAATCCCAGCACTTTGGGAAGCTGAGGTGGGTGGATCACCTGAGATCAGGAGTTCAAGACCAGCCTGGCCAACATGGTGAAACCCTCTCTCTACTAAAAATACAAAAATTAGCCAGGCATGGTGGCAGGCACCTGTAATCCCAGATACTTGGGAGGCTGAGGCAGGAGAATCGCCTGAACCCGGGAAGCGGAGGTTGCAGTAAGCTGGTACTACATTACTGCACTCCAGCCTGGACGACAGAGCAAGACTGTCTCAAAAAAAGAGAGAAAGAAAGGAAAGAAAGAAAGAAAGAAAGAAAGAAAGAAAGAAAGAAAGAAAGAAAGAAAGAAAGAGAAAGAAAGAGAAAAAGAAAGAAGGGAAAAAAGAAAAAGAAAGGAAGGAAGGAAGGAAGGAAGAAAGGATAAAAGAAAAAGAAAAGAAAAGCAGGAGAGGGAGGTAAAAATAAATAGAAGAGTGTCCTGCATTGGGATCACTTTTCACCCAAGCTCGGGGTGAGTGAAGCGGCCCATTGTAGCTGCAGCAGGGGAAGGTGGGGAACAGACCGCCATGGGACAGGCGCACGCTCAGAGCCCCACTCTTCTGCCCTTCTTCTTTATGTGTTCCTCACAAGAATCATGCAATGTGCCTTGCCTTTTTCTTTTCTTTCCTTACTGCACATTCATCTTTATCAGACCAATGCTACTTGCTTGTGGAAAATTTAGAAATCTCAGATAAACAAAAGGAAGAAAATGTCACCACCCAGAATCTCAAGCACTATGGAAATCTAGATGATGCATTTTCTTTCAGACTTCTTTTTTCTTTTCTTGTTTTTTTGTTTGTTTTTTTGTTTGTTTGTTTTGTTTTGTTTTGTTTTTTCATTTTGAAACTAGAGATCATACCCTATACTCAATATGTGGTCATCTGCTCTGGTTCACTCAGCAATAGCTTCCAGATGTATAAACTGATCTTCATAGACAGAGCTATGTCATTCTGTGTAGTCACTGCTTAAAGTTCTCTTCAATGGCTGAGCCATCCTTTTATGGTTTTTGTTTTATTTTTAACCAAGTCTATTATTGGATATTTGGGTTTGTTTCCAACGTTTCACCACTTTAAACCACATCAGAATATCCTTGCAGCTGAATCCTTGGACGTGTATCAGGGTAGGTATTATTGGCCCCCTCAGGGTACTCAGAGAGGTTGAGGGACTGGCCCAAAGTCACACAGCTGGGAAGTGGCAAAGCTGAGATTCAAACCCATGTATTGGGTTGTGTTTCTACTTCTCTATGGTGCCCTAACTGTAACGGATTTTAGAGGCCAAGAGAGAATTTGCAAGGTGGACCTCATCTCTGGCGGGTCCCTGAATGCTTTCTGGGCATGTGTGAACTTTACAGAAGGGCTCACTTAGAACTTGCACCAGAGCAATATGGGGGAAGCGAAGCTAGGGGGAGGAGAGGACTCACCCCTTCCTCAAACAGGGTTGTGACAGGGAGATACAGGTTGGGGAGAGAGGGGAGGGGAGGAGGGGTGAAAGAGAGGAAGAGGAGGGGAGGGAGGCAGGAGAAAAGGAAAGAATAAGGAAGAGAGGAAGAGGAAGAGAAGGGAGAAAGGTTAGGAGGAGAGAAAGAGAAGATTAAATCTGTGGCAGGAAGAGCCCCCATAGGTGTGCCAAGTCACCTACTGCTCATGCTCCATGGTGTCCAGGGACCGCCCCCAGCCCCTACCCAGATAGGACGCTTAGACCCAGAGGTGTCCTTCAGTGAAGGCAGCAGAGTGAGGCTACAGAATGAGAAACCGCAGTAGAACCAAGCCCTCTGCCCCTTTCTCCAGGTACAGGCACACACATGCACACACACACGCACCAGACAGTTACATATGGGCCCACACAATGAACACTTACACATGCAAATACATGTACACGAACAAAAACACAAGCATATACTGATGCATGTTCACAGGCATATGGATTTACACACACACACACACACACAAAGCAGCCACATGGACACACAGCTGTGCATGCACACAGAGACACATACAAATACAGACAAGGGCACAATGGTAGGCGCACACATCTACATACATATGCACACAAATGTACATTAACAGACACCCACAGGCTTGTGTACACAAATGCACACACCTACAATATGTCTAACCCCTGTGGACACACAAAAACCCACACACCATGTCCTTGCACACATGCTAACACACATGTACACAGGATATATACCTGCCCCTTAAATACTCACAGCTTCAGTCTGGGAGAACTGGGAGAGGAAGAGGTCCCCTTTTATGTCAGGGACTTAAATAACCCTGGGGTGGCCCCATCAAGATCTCTGAGGGTGGCTCCAGAAGCCAGGTTCCAAGAGGGATGCCATGATTTCTGCATGATCAGTACTTGTGGACACACTCCCCATCATTCCTTCCTCTGAGTATTCACAAGTGAAGCGGGTTGGCAGCCTAGGTCACCTGAGAATGGGATGGAGGCAGAACAGAGCAGGAGCTCTGGGATCCAGGACACTACCTGGCTGAGGAACTGGAGGTTGCTCACTATGTCCCCTTTCTGGTCACTATGTCCCCTTTCTGGGTCTCAGTGTGCTCACCTGTGAAATGGACTCTCAACATCATTTCCTCCACAGGGTGAGGATGGAAGAGAAGTGACTCAGCCTGTCGCCAAGGTTCAGGAAATCTAGGGCCTGGGTTACATCCCCATGTCCATGTCTCTCTCTCTGTCTCTCTCACACACACACACACCAGCTTCCATGGAGGGTAACAAGAGGAGAGAGAGGACCTGATTCACACCAAATTCACTCCCACTCCCGTGAGCTCATTTTAACTCCCCAAGTGCTTACTGGGCCCAGGGGCTCTGGGAGGAGACATTCTCCCACCCCAACACTAGCACAGTGCCCCTGCAGGTGTACAGCCATAATACTGGGTGCACATTGTTAAGGAGGCAGTTCCTGAGAAAGGCTGGGTGGGGAAGGGGAGCAGTTGGGAAGAGACGTTTGTCTTTCAGCATCCACAACCATTTTCTCAAAGTATGATCGGAGGACAATGCTTGCTGCAAATTGCAGCCCCAGGTCCCACCACTTATGGCTTGAATTGTCCTCTGGAGTGGGGCCCAAGATGCTTCACATTTAGCTCCCCAAGAGATTCTGGCACCTCCCAAACATGCAAGACCACTGCTCAACATGATGCCACCTGTCTCCAAACCCATTGGTCAGAGTCCTATCCAATCCTCACAACGTCCCTTCGAGATAAGCATTGTTCTTCCCACTTTGCAGGTGGAGAGAATGAGCCCCAAGAGATGAAGTGAGCTGACCAAAGTCACACAGCCAGGGAGTGGCAAAGCTAGGTTTTGAATTGAGAACTTTTGCTGCAAGAGCCCACATTGTCCCTGGACCCAGGACAGAGCCCAGTGCAGATTCTAGTAACTACATGAATGAATGAATGAATGAATGAATGAATGAATGAATGAATAAAATTCAGCTACTATAAAAAGGGATTCTTTAAGAAAGGGCTTAATGAATAACCTCATTGGCTTTTGCTTAAAACCCCCTCCCGGGTTAAACAAAGCTAGCCAGAAGAGCAGAGGGCATCATGAACATTGCCAAGGTCAGAAGACATAAGGACGTCTGGTTTCTCCATGTTCGCCCTCCTCCCTTTCCTCCTCCATTAACGTATCTGCTCATCTCCTTCTATCTTCATCGCCTGTATTTATTATCTCTTAAAAATAAAAGATTTCTGAGAGGAAAAAAAACATCCCAGGGCATACAGGCAAAGAGGCAAGCCAGGCTCTCCTGCCAGTGCCCTCCAGCACTGGAAAAAGGGGGACCTCGCCTGTCCCCTTGCTGCCCCTAGGCTATAATTCTGGCCAACACTGGACAGTTAAACCACACGTACTCCAACCCCCGTCATGCATGCTCTCCTCCTGTCCCTGTCCCTGTCCCCGTCCTCCTGCCCCAAGATATACACCCCGCAAAACATGAGGGCTGACCCACTGTGCTTAGGACTAATATTTAAAATGCAGAATGGCTGTGGAGGGCGCCTGCTCCCAAGCCTTGTCGTGCAGTAAAAAGATATAAACAGAATAAATTACCTCTCCAGCTTGGATTATGAGAATACCCATCTCCTGACCGGAATTTTAAGTCCTGCCTCCCTCGTAGCGCTGCACATGGCTGATTTATGGAAACTCAAGCACCTCTCTGCATATTTCTTCTGTTCAGCCAAGTGACCAAGTTTACCCTTCCTATGCCATTAGCGTTATTAACACCTGGGTAACCGATCATTGCAAATGGGCCATTTCTGTGATGAACGGAAACCTCTCCAGCCGCTTCTCCAGGCCAGCACCACCTCTGGCTTCCTCTTTCTGAATTTTGTGCCAGAGCTCAGAACCATTCTCACCTGCCCCTGCCCCCCAGCACCTGCTGATGGGTTCCTGGGAGCTTGGGGAGGAAATGTCTCACCCCAGCAGGTGCTCATGGCTTTCTGACAAGCACACAGGAAGTGACACCACAGCTGGTATTCATTTATTCTTCAGAGAACTGACCAGGGAATGAAATTGAGGCTCAAGAAGGGCAAGAGAGTGGCCTAAAGTCCCACAAAGAGTTTACAGAGGAGTTGGGATCAGGATTCATATCTACTAACCTCTTGCTACTCAAAGTGTGGTCCGCAGACCAGCAGTGGCATCACCTGGGAGCTGGTTAGAAACGCAGCATTTCAGGCCCCACTCCGGAACTGCACACTACAGGTTGCACAGCTCCTAGGGGACCTGTGTGCACACTCTATTTTTGGAGCATTGGCTTGGAAATCACACCCAGATTCTCCATGATCCCTTGTTCACTGCAGGAAAACCTTATGGTGTAAATTTTCTTTGTTTGGAAACAGCTGAGATCTCCAACTCTGTGGTCTAGCTGAGTAAGTGTAGAGGAAGTAGCTGGCTGAGCTAGTGATGCCCTCCTGGGCACCTGCAGCATTCCTGTCCATGTCTTCCTCCATTGCAACACCTCAACCCACACTGTGTTTGTGTCTCCATCCCACCGCTGGGAGTAACTTGAGACCAGGGACTGTGTGACCTCACATTAGGTACACAACATCTCTGAGCCTCAGCTTTGCAAGGCCCTATAAAAACAGCACAAAAACATCTAACTTCAAGTTTCATCGTAAAGGTTAAATAAGGCCATATGTGTCATAGTCTACACACAGTGCCTGTTAGAGAGCTGGCCATTGAGTAATAAACACAAAAATGAAATAATATTAATAATATAGTAATCATGACAATGGTCATTCATTGGATGCTGTCATTATTATCTATTCCTTTTTCTTCTTTGAGGAAGTGCTTAAAACATTTTTTAAAACAAAGACTAACTTCACAGCCTACTGGACAAACATGCAGTTTATTACTTTTCAGAATATACTTCAAGATTACCCATGCTGCCTAACGAAAAACTATAGGGTCTGTGAAAATAAGACTGGGAGTTGGGTGCAGTGGATCACGCCTACAATCCGAGCACTTTGGGAGGCCGAGGCAGGTGGATCACTAGAGATCGGAAGTTCAACACCAGCCTGGCCAACATGGTAAAACCCCATCTCTATTAAAAATACAGAAAACATTAGCCAAGTCTGGTGGTGTGTGCCTGTAATCCCAGCTACTCGGGAGGCTTAGGTGGCAGGATCGCTTGAACCCAGGAGGTAGACGTTGCAATGAGCTGAAATTGCACCACTGCACTCCAGCCTGGGTGACAGAGCAAGACTCCATCTCAAAAAAAAAAAAAAAAAAAAAAAAAAAAAAAGACTGGGTCTGACACATAGTAAGAGGTCAAGGCCTAGTGGAGAATAATCTGACATCTTTTAAAAAAGAAATGTGGCTGGCATAGTGGCTCATGCCTGTAATCTCAGCACTTGGGGATGCTTGGATGGGAGGATCGCTTGAGCTCAAGAGTTGAGACCAGCCTGGGCAATATACTGAGACCCCATCTCTACAAAAAAAAAAAAAAATCAAAAATTTATAATTTAAAAGTTAGCCAAGTATGGTGGTAGTCCCAGCTACTCAGGATGCTGAGGTGGGAGCATCACTGGAGCCCAGGAGGTTGAAGTTGCAATGACTGTGACTGTACCACTGCACTCCAGCCTGCATGAGAGTGAGAACTTGTCTTAAAAAAATAATAAAAATAAAAATAAATGCATCATCAGGAGATGAATAGATAAACAAAATGTGGGCCGGGCATGATGGCTCATGCCTGTAATCACAGCACTTTGAGATGCCAAGGCGGGAGGATTGCTTCAGTTCAGGAGATTGAGACCAGCCTGGGCAACATGGCAAAAACCCATCTCTATTAAAAAAAAAAAAAAACACACACACACACACAAAGATTCACTGGGTATGGTGGCTCTTGCCTGTGGTCCCAGCCACTCGGAAGGCTGAGATAGGAGGATTCCTTGAGCCTGGGCGGTCGAGGCTGCAGTGAGCCATGATTGTGCCACTGCAATCCAGTCTGGGCAACAGAGCAAAACTCTGTCTCAATAATAATAATAATTAATTAATTAATTAATGAAAGATAAACAAAATGTGGTCTATCCATAAAATGGAATGTGGTCCAGCCATAAAAAGGAATGAAATGCAGATACAGACAACATGGATGAACTTTGAAAATTTTACAGTAATTTAAAGAAGTCAGTCACAAGAAAATTACACCTTAGAGGATTCCATTTATAAGAAATATCCAGAACAGGTAAAACCGTAGAAGCAGAAAGTGGATTGGTGGTTGCCAGGGGGTAGGGGGAGGGGAATAGGGAGTGGCTGCTAAAGTGATACAGGGTTTCCTTTCCATGTGATGAAATATTCTGGAACTAGACAGAAGAGGTGGCTGCACAGCCTTGTGAATGCATTCAATGCCTCTGAACTGTTTATTTTTAAATGGTTAATTTTATGTTATGTTTTACATTATTAAAATATGAAGAAGGGCCAGGCACAGTGGCTCACACCTGTAATCCCAACACTTTGGGAGGCTGAGGTGGGCGGACGACTTGAGGTCAGGAGTTTGAGACCAGCCTGGCCAACATGATGAAATCCCGTCTCTACTAAAAATACAGAAATTAGCTGGGCGTGGCGGTGCACGCATGTAATCCCAGCTACTTGGGAGGCTGAGACAGGAGAATCACTTGAACTCAGAAGGCAGAGGTTGCGGCAAGCTGAGATCATGCCACTGTACTCCAGCCTGGGCAACAGAGAGACTCCGTCTCAAAACAAAACAAAACAAATGAAGAAAAGGCCAGGCGTGGTGGCTCACACCTGTATTCCCAGCACTTTGGGAGGCTGAGGCAGGCAGATCACTTGAGGTGGGGAGTTCAAGACCAGCCTGGCCAACATGGTGAAACCCTAATCTCTACTAAAAATACAAAAATTAGCCAAGCGTGGTGGTGGTGCACGCCTGTAATCCCAGCTACTCGGGAGGCTGAGGCACAAGAATCACTTGAACCCAGGAGGCAGAGGTTGCAGTGAGCCAAGATCCCATTACTGCACTCCAGCCTAAGCAACAGAGCAGACTGTCTCCAAAAAAAAAAAAAAAAATCTGAAGAAAACAAAATGCAGTTGTGTTATACTTGGGGATTTAAGGAAGACTGAAGCCCAGCTAAACACGAACCCTCGTGCCTAACAAACAGTGTTTGAGAGTCTGTGTTATAATACCAGTTGCAGGTTGTCTGAATGCAGATATTGCTGAAGAAAGAGTTTGCTTTGCACGCTTTTTTTGGCGGGGGTGGTCCCTGAAATAAAGATCAGCCTCGTTATGTGATACTCCCACCAAGGCAGGGTTTCCTGAAGTGTGGGACGGGTACCCCTGGAGAACCAGGTATTTTCAGAGATGCCTAACATTCCGTGAGGAAGTCACTCTCTTTCCAGCTCTCCTTCAGCACTTCTGATTGTTTTAAGGAGACTCTCTGTGGGGTTTAGCATGTCTTAAGTGCCGTCTAACACTTGCTTATCCAGGCAACCATAGGCTCAGGCTTGGAGACTTGGTGGGCAGAAGCTAGTAACTATGTAATGATATTGTTTTGTTTTTCATTGTATCTATTTCCACACATAGTATCTAATTCTGGGAAGTGATACGGTTTCTCCATTTAGAGTGGTGATAACATTTTCTTTCTAACAGCATTGAAAGCTTCAAGAAAAATGCGAATGAGGGAATAGTAAAGATGTTGCTTGAGGCCAGGCACCATGCTGCATGCCTGTAATCCCAGCACTTTGGGAGGCTAAAGCGGGAGGATCTTTTGAGCCCAGGAGTTCAAGACCAGCCTGGGCAACACAGTGAGACTCAATCTCTACAAAAAAAAAAAAAAAAATGTAAAAATTAGCCAGGCACGGTGGTGAATGCCTGTGGTACCAGCTACTTGGGAGGCTGAGGTAGGAGGATCTCTAGAGCCCAGGAGGTTCAGGCTGTAGTGAGCTATGATCACTTCGCTGCATGCCAGCCTGGGCAACAGAGCAAGACCCTGCCTCTCTAGGAAAAAAAAAAAAAACAAATGACACATGGGGATCTGGCAAAACCCTAGGTGGCAATATGGGTTGGGGGATGATATTTCCGGAATATGCCTACTCAGAGACAGCTGGTCCCCAGCTAGACCACTCCAGGTCACTGGAGCTCTCTCTGTAGTAACCATACAGCCCCATGGGATTTTCAGTTTGGGACCGGCTTTGCCATGTTTGTGCTGTGTGACTGTGACTAGGTTACTCACCCTCTCTGAGCCTCAGTCTCTTCATCTGAAGTATGTGGGTGGAAAGTGGACCAAAGACCCTGGAGCCAAGTTGTGCAGACCTCTGACTTGTCTGATTTCAGGCTGAGGCTGCAGTGAGCTATGATCACTCCACTGCACTCTAGCCTGGGCTACAGAGCAAGACCCTGTCTCTCTAAAAAAAGAAAACAAAAAAGAAAGGTGATGCCTGACTTCCTGAACTTTCTCCTCATTTGTTCATTTATTCAATTATTCAGCAAACGTTTTGTAACGGCTTAGTGTACACTAGGCACTCCCTGGACTCCCTGGGTTCCGTGTAAGTAGAATAGATTTTGGTCCCAGTCCTCACAGAGCTAATATTCTATGGGGGGACACAGACAGTAACCAAAGGAGAAAGGGAGCAATAACTTCAAATCATGGTAGGAAAACAGAGTGATGAGATTGAGAAACTGGGTGATGGGAGGGGTACCCGGCAAGGATGGCCCAGGGTACAAGTGGGGTACTCACCTTGAGTGCAAAATTGAAGGGGAGGGGCACGAAAAGCTGAATAATAAAAATAAATGGTTCTTTGGTTTTGGTTTTGGTTTTTGAGACAGGGTCTCACTCTGCTGTCCAGGCTGCAGTGCAGTAATGCAATCACAGCTCACTGCACCCTCAAACTCCCAGGCTCAAACAATCCTTCCACCTCAGCCTCTGAAATAGCTGGGATGACAGACATGTGACATGACATTCGGCTAATCTTGTTATTATTTGTAGAGACAGGGTCTTGCTAGGTTGCCCAGGCTGGTCTCAAATTCCTGGGCTCAAGTGATCCATTCACTTCAGCCTCCCAAAGTGCTGGGATTACAGGCATGAGCCACCATGCCTGCCCCCCCCAAAAAATATATATAATATATACAATATATGACATATATAATATATTATATAATATATGTCATATATATTATATAATATATGTCATATATATATGTCATATATAATATATATGTCATATATTATATATTATATAATGTATGTCATATATTATGTAATATATGACATATATCATATATTATATATTACGTGTACTATATATTATATATGATAATATGATATGCATATATTATATATGATAATATGATATGCATATATTATATATGATAATATGATATGCATATATTATATATGATAATATGATATGCATATATTATATATGATAATATGATATGCATATATTATATATGATAATATGATATGCATATATTATATATGATAATATGATATGCATATATTATATATGATAATATGATATGCATATATTATATATGATAATATGATATGCATATATTATATATAATATGATATGCATATATTATATATAATATGATATGCATATATTATATATAATATGATATGCATATATTATATATAATATGATATGCATATATTATATATAATATGATATGCATATATTATAGATAATATGATATGCATATATTATAGATAATATGATATGCATATATTATAGATAATATGATATGCATATATTATAGATAATATGATATGCATATATTATAGATAATATGATATGCATATATTATAGATAATATGATATGCATATATTATATATGATAATATGATATGCATATATTATATATGATAATATGATATGCATATATTATATATGATAATATGATATGCATATATTATATATGATAATATGATATGCATATATTATATATGATAATATGATATGCATATATTATATATAATATGATATGCATATATTATATATAATATGATATGCATATATTATATATAATATGATATGCATATATTATATATAATATGATATGCATATATTATATATAATATGATATGCATATATTATAGATAATATGATATGCATATATTATAGATAATATGATATGCATATATTATAGATAATATGATATGCATATATTATAGATAATATGATATGCATATATTATAGATAATATGATATGCATATATTATAGATAATATGATATGCATATATTATATATGATAATATGATATGCATATATTATATATAATATGATATGCATATATTATAGATAATATGATATGCATATATTATAGATAATATGATATGCATATATTATATATAATATGATATGCATATATTATAGATAATATGATATGCATATATTATAGATAATATGATATGCATATATTATAGATAATATGATATGCATATATTATAGATAATATGATATGCATATATTATAGATAATATGATATGCATATATTATAGATAATATGATATGCATATATTATAGATAATATGATATGCATATATTATATAATATATTATATATTACATAATGTGTGTATATAATATATAATATAATATGCATATATTATATATTATATATTATATAATGTATGTATATAATATATAATATAATATGCATATATTATATATTATATATTATATAATGTATGTATATAATATATGCATATATTATATAAAATATGCATATATTATATATTATATAATGTATGTATATAATATATTATATATTATACTTTATATGTTATACATTATATATTATACATTATATGTGTTATATATAATATATTACATATAACATAATTATATTACATGTATTATATATATAATTTTTTAATAAGCTAGGGGGTGGGGTGTTGCACACCTATGGTCCAAGCTACTCCAGAGGCTGAGACAGGAGGATTGTTTGAGCCCCAGAGTCCAAGACCGCAATGAACCATGATCATACCACTGCACTACAGCCTGGGCAGCAGAGCAAGGCTCTGATGAAACAAACAAAAAAGACTACCCTGACTTCTGGCTTCTGGGTGGCAATTAAATTGGGGGTACCAGCCTCAAGACTAGCAGCAGGAGGCTGGGGGGAGGCTGCTGGTTCCCTCAGATAAGGGACGAGCCTGTTGGTGTCTTTTGTGTGCACAATGGCACATCTTCTCTCCTGGAAGCCTTTGAGGGATGCTTTCATTCCCCATTATGCAGAAAAGGAAACTGAGGCTCAGAGAGGTGAATGCACCTGCTCAGGGTCCTAGCTAGTAGGGAGCAGAGGTGGGATTTGAACTCAGATTTTTATATACCTGGCTGGCCTATTTTCTGCCCGTCTCATCATCTCAGAAGAATGGGCCAACCATGTAATTTCAGGTTAACCTCAGTTTTCCTCATCTGTAATATGGGCCAATTTATAGAACCCACCTCCAAGAGCTGAGGTAGTCAAAGAAATATGCCACACACAGGCTAAGTCCCCATTGACTTTTACCTTAAAAGAAAGTAAAAAAAGGTATTTTCTCATTCGCCTCTCTCTCTGCTGGCTCTACCCTAAAAGGAGAAACTTTGGTATTTGTTCTTCAAACATTTATTTTATTTTTTAGATCTTTTTGGAGGGGGAAGCATTGGTGAAGGTAATCAGTTTTTGGACTTAAGATAAAAAATTGCAGGAAAGCATCGACTTGACTCTTTATAATTAATGGGGCGGCTTGTAATAGGATTCTCCTGCCTGTGGCGCTCCCAGGAAACACCTTTTTACATAAGATATTGCCCACGCTGGAGTGGCAGCGGGGTGATTTATGGGGTTTCTTGCTCCAATAAACCTCTCCTGGGGTTGCCCAGCCAGCGGAATTTATCAGGGAGTTTAGAAGCAAAGCAAGAAACCTGCCCATGACATTTTTGGTGGAGTTTAAAAAGCACAAACACCGGGGAAGAGAGAGGCCAATGGGACAGGGGTAAGGGGGAGAGTGTTCATTTACACTGGGTTTTCTACAAGCAGAGGCTGAGATGGGGATTCTGGGCACATGGTTTACTAAGTGGGGGCTCCCAGTAGAAGGAATGAAAGAGGCAGAATAGAGCGATGGGGGGAAGCCAGGCTCAGATGCAAGTTCAGGTGGAGTCTGGACCCTGAATGGTACCCATGGGGTTGCCCCACTTTGAAATGAGGGGATCTGTTTTTTTTCTTCTCCTTCTTCTTCTTCCTCTTCCTCTTCCTCTTCCTCTTCTTCTTCTTCTTCTTCTTCTTCTTCTTCTTCTTCTTCTTCTTTTCTTCTTTTCTTCTTCTTCTAGTCTTCCTCTGTCACCCAGGCTGGAGTGCAGTGGCACAATCTCAGCTCACTGCAACCTCCGCCTCCCAGGTTCAAGTGAGTCTTGTGCCTCAGTTTCTCAAGTAGCTGGGACTACAGGCGCCTGCCACCATGCCTGGCTAATTTTTTGTATTTTTAGTAGAGATGGGGTTTCACCATGTTGGCCGGTCTTGAACTCCTGACCTCAGGTGATCCACCTGCCTCGGCCTCCCAAAGTTCTGGGATTACAGGTGTGGGCCACTGCACCCAGCCCAGGGTGGGGTGTGCTTTTTATTAATATATGCCTGTATTAGCCAGTCACTGGTTGTGGGCCACCCTCAGGCAGCTGTGACCCCACACATCTCTGGACAAGGCAACCCCCAT
Organism: Homo sapiens; assembly: GCF_000001405.40. NCBI lineage: Eukaryota > Metazoa > Chordata > Mammalia > Primates > Hominidae > Homo > Homo sapiens. Next base: position 113,448,200 of record NC_000012.12, on the reverse strand, counting down.
AGGCAGTTCTCTGGACAGGGTGCAGCTGAAGTCTGTTAGCAGCCAACACGTCCCAGCAGCTGGGGGATGATTGCACCTGCCTGGTTAAAGGATCTGAATCCAGGAGTGGAGGGCACCAGTAATGTCCACTGCAGAGGCAAAGGATGCCCAGGACAGGAGATGGAAATCAAGGCTGAGAACAGGGCTGAGGGAGGCAGGCAGGGGAGATGTCTCATGCTGAACTCTTCCAGGACCTCCCTCATGCTCAGGAAAAACCAAAGCCTTGCAAGGCCTTTCACGATCCGGTATCCTTTCTGTTGACCCCCACCCCCCTCCCGTGCTCTGTCTGTCTTCTATTATCTTCTACTATTCTCCCCTCACCCTCTTCCCTGCAGCCACCCTGGCCTCCTCGCACGTTCCCACCTCAGGACATTTGCACATGCTGTTTCCCCTGCATGCCCCGCATGGCCTCCTTCATCTCCTTCCAGCCTCAGCTCGAACTTCACCTTTTCAAAGAGGCCTTCTTTGATCACTCTCTCTCAGCTAACTGTAATAGATTAAGAGACGTAAGAAATAGAGCAATCAAACGCAGCATAGCCCGGGCATGGTGGCTCGTGGCTGTAATCCCAGCACTTTGGGAGGCTGAGGCAAGATCACTTGAGCCCAGGAGTTAGAGACCAGTTTGGGCAATATATCAAGACCTTGTCTCTATTAAAAACAAAAACAAAAACAAAATGCAATATGAAGACTATTTAGATTCTGATCCAACAAACTAATTCTCTCTCTCTCTCTCTCTCTCTCTCTCTCTCCACCTCCCCCCCACCCCCAATCCCCCTGTCTTTTTTTTTTTTTTTTTTTTTTTTTTTTGAGATGGAGTTTCGCTTTTGTTGCCCAGGCTGGAGTGCAGTGATGTGACCTCAGCTCACTACAACCTCAGCCTCCCGGGTCTTAGCGATTCTCCTGCCTCAGCTTCCCAAGTAGCTGGGATTACAGGTGTGTGCCACCACACATAGCTAATTTGTGTATTTTTAGTAGAGATGGAGTTTCACCATATTGGTCAGGCTGGTCTCAAACTCCTGACTTCAAGTGATCTACCTACCTCGGCCTCCCAAAGTGCTGGGATTACAGGCGTGAGCCACCGCACTCGACCTTGTCTTTCTTTTTTAAGACAAGATCTCATTTTGTCACCCAGGCTGGAGTACAGTAGCACAATCACAACTCACTGCAGCTTTGAACTCCTGGGCTTAAGTGATCCTCCCGCCCCAGCCTCCCAAGTAGCTGAGGAGTACAGGCATGAGTCACAACACCTGGCTAAAATGTCGTGTTTTTTTGTAGAGATGGGGTCTTTCTATGTTGCCCAGGCAGGGAAAATTTTTTTCTAATCTGTTAGAGATCCATACTGCTATACTTGATGAGTAAAACAGTGTAATGCTTAGGATTTGTTGAAAATATTCCAACACAATAAATAGCCCCCCACCCCTTTCTTGCCATTCTCTCTCCCCTTATCCTGTCTCACCTTTCCTCAAACCCCCTATCGGTATCTGACACAGTGTATTTTTGTTTGGGGCTTTGCCATTGTCTGTCTCTTTCCATTAGAATGTAAGCCTCCTGAAGCCAGGGCTTTTGCTGTATCCCTATGCCTAGAAAAGTGCCTGGCACAGAGTAGGTGCTTAATAAATATTTGCCAAATAAATGACTGCATGGATCCCTAGGCTGTTCATTCCCCAACCCCCTTTACTCCCTTCTTTTGGATCCCCCGTCTCAGACATCTGCACAGATGGTTGCCCAAGCCAGAAACCTGGTGGCCACCCTTGGCCCACCCCCTTTCCCAATCAATCACTGAGCTTTGTTGACTTCACCTTCTTAATTTCTCCAAACTTGTTGCCTTTTCATGCAAACCACACGACCTGGTCTAAGCCTACAGGGCCCTTCCCAGGGCCACCCAATCAAACAGAGCTCAGTCTGGAGCTGGTCCTCCAGGCAGCTTGTCCCAGAGCAGAGAGATTTTAGCTCACCTGGAGTACCTCCTCATCCACAGTCACTCACTCATCCACTCCTTCATTCTTCATTGTAGTAGAGACTGCTAGTTACCCTCCAGTCCCAAGTCTTCTTTTTAGAAATTGAACGCTGAGCTTTAGCTGGGTAAGTGTCCTCCCAGATAGAGACTACATTACCCATCCTTTCTTACAGCTGGGTGATTAAGTCTTGGCCAATGGGCTATGAGCAGAAGGGAAGTGTGCCACATCCGGGTAATGCCCTTAAAAGGAAACATCTTGCCCTCTACTTTCTCTTTCCCCTTACTGCAGCCTTGGTAATTATGAGCCAATTTTGACCAGGCACATGAGAACAATATTTCAAGATAGGGTGAAGCAACAGAATAGAAAGAACCTGCTTGGTTCCCTATATTTTCTTGTGGAGCAGAGCTGCCTACCTGCCCTGAAATAACACTGTAGTTTTAGATCTTTTTGTTATAGCAGCTTAACCTATACCCTTACACATTTGCTCCATATGGCAAAGACTTCTTTTCATCCTCAACATCCATTCTATTATTGTTTGTTTGTTTGTTTTTTCAGGGAGTCTTGCTCTATCGCCCAAGCTGGAGTGCAACAGCACGATCTTGGCTCACTGCAACCTCCGCCTCCTGGGTTCAAGTGATTCTCGTGCCTCAGCCTCCTGAGTAGAATGGTAGAGCACACCACCATGTCCAGCTAATTCTTGTAATTTTAGTGGAGATGGGGTTTCACCCTGTTGCCCAGGTTGGTCTCAAACTCCTGGCCTCAAGCAATCTGCCCATCTCGGCCTCACAAAGTGCTGGGATTACAGGAATGAGCTACTGTGCCCAACCCATTCTATTCATCTTCCTCTATAGCAGAGCCTCTGATTCTGGCTGAGTTGCATGGCTGACATTTGTCAGCCACCTTTGCAGCTAGTTACGGCACATGACTAAGTTCTGACCAATGAGCTATGAGCAGAAGTAGTGTGTAGCAACTATTTTAAGTGTCCTTAAAGAGAAGGAAGTTTTCCTTCTTCATCTCTTCATCTCTTCCTCCTTCCTGCTGCCTGGAATTAGCATACAGTGGCTGTCCTCCAGCATCCACTTGGGACCATGAGATGACCATGGGAGTGGAAGCCATTCACGGCCACACAAACAGAGCAAAGGAGTCTGAGTCCCCAACACCACTGGACACAACACCAGCCTTGGAGTGCTTAATTCCAAACTTCTATTCGTTTATTTTTTGTTTGTTTGTTTGTTTGTTTGAGTCTCCCTTTGCACCCAGGCTAGAGTGCAATGGCGCAATCTCAGCTCACTGCAGCCTCTGCCTTCCAGGTTCAAGTGATTCTCCTGCCTCAGCCTCTCAAGTAGCTGGGATTACAGGCACATGCCACCACAGTCAGCTAATTTTTGTATTTTTAGTAGAGACGGGGTTTCACCATGTTGGTCAGGCTGGTCTCAAACTCCTAACCTCAAGTGATCTGCCCACTTAGGCCTCCCAAAGTGCTGGAATTAAAAGCATGAGCCACTGCTCCTGGCCTTAATTCCAAACTTTTAAGTGAAAGAGAAACAAACTTCTATTTTGTTTAAGTCTCTTATCTTGTGTTTCTTGAATTGTCAAACTGAACCAAACCCTAACTGATATACTCATTCATTCGTTCATTCTGAAATGAACCAGAAACACAAAGTAATGGAAATAGGTGTGCAGGTCCAGAATGGATCTCCCAAATCCCCCTGCCATGGGACACGAGGTGCCCAGTCTGACCCAGAAAGCCCCGGAGGAGCTGGACATGGAGGTCCCCAATCAATCGCTCTATGTCCCCATGAGAACAAAGCACCCCACCAGGCAAGTGGGAAGACCCTTGGGTGCCCACACCAGGTGTCCTGAAGTGAGAAGCTGCCCATCTCTGGACCTCCCCATGCCCCTCACCATCAGCAATGTTTGCTCTACCAGGCCTCCAGGAAGCTCAGGCAGGAGGCTCCAACTCAGAGTAACTTTCCAAGCCCCTAAGATGGATGGAAAATTAGGAAACTGCTGGACGCGGTGGCTAAGGTCTGTAATCCCAGCACTTTGGGAGGCCAAGCCAGGTGGATCACTTTGAGGCCAGGAGTTCAAAACCACCCTGGCCACCCTGGGTAAAACTCCATCTCTACCAAAAATAGAAAAATTAGTTGGACGTGGTAGTGTGCTCTTGTAATCTCAGCTACTCGGGAGGCTGAGGCAGGAGAATTGCTTGAACCTGGGAGGTGGCGGTTGCAGTGAGCCGAGGTCATGTCACTGCACTCCAGCCTGGGTGACAGTGAGATTTGTCGCAAAGAAAAAAAAAAAAGGTAAAAGGAAGAAAAAAATAAGAAAATTAGGAAACTGTCTTCCTAACAGGCTTGAATTTTAAATGTTGGAGGTGTCTCTGGGTTACCCCAGCCCTAACCATTATTTACACCAGTCACTTCCAAAAGAGACTTTTACCCAATCTGATTTTTAAAATCTCCCTATCTTCGTAAAATACTGCCACCCAACTCCTTAGCAATATGACATTGAGTTTTACTTTGCTCTTCCTGTAAGGGCAAACGGCATGAACTCCCAGCTTCCTGGGAGCAAAAATAAAAAGTGGATCCAAAGAGAAGATTGCCCTCATTTTGCTGAGGGCCAAGCTGAGATAAGATTCAAATCCAGGCAGCTCAAAGCAAATCAATTCAATTCAGCAGACATGTACGAAGTGTGTACCCCATCCGTCGGGATCCTTTAAGTCTCAAATGAGAGGAGGTCCAGGCTTGTGCAGAAAGGGACATTTATTGGCTTGCAGAAATGAACAGCTAGGAGTGCCTCCCTATTCCCAGCTAAACTTCCGAGGGCTACTCTGATTGGACAGCTTGGCTCCGGGGGCCCACCCTTGAACCAATCACCATGAGCATGGAAAATGTAATGCTCTGATTGGCTCAGGTTGGGGTCACATGCTCCTCCCCCAGATTCAGTGACTTTCCTGCAGGACTTGTCAGAGCCTTTATATGAATACATGAGCAAATGGAACAAACAGCATTTCCCAAACGGCTTTGATTTTGAGTGAACACTAATGAAATTGGGAGATGTGTTATGTTGGGCCTGCAATTGGCTGGAGCTGAGTAGTGGCTAAGTTCTTTAGACAGAGCATAAGCCCTCCATTTGGCCTCAGTCCCCATCACTCCTTAATGTCTAGCCCCCAGGCTGCTTCACTGTAGACATCCAAGTTTGATGTCTGGCTAGTGATTACATCACAAGTCCCAAATGCAACAATGTGAAGCACCACATTGAGGGGGAAATCAAGCAGCCCTCAATTACTGTGTCTATTCCCTCATAAACACACAAATATTCATGCACTCATGGACACAAACACACATGCATGCAGGTACACAACTACACGGGTGCACACACAACCACAGAGCTGACTTAGGATACAAAGTGCTGTGGTCTAAATGTCTATGTTCCTCCAAAATTCACAGTTGAAACCCTGACCCCCATGGTTTTAGGAGCTGGGGGCTTTGGGAGGTGATTAGGTCATGGGGAGAGGACCTTTATGAAACCATCAGTGCCTTATAAGAGATGTCTGAGGCCAGGCACAGTGGTTCACACCTGTAATCCCAGCACTTTGGGAGGCTGAGGTAGGAAGATCACTTGAGGCCAGGAGTTCGAGACCAGCCTGGCCAACATGGCAAAACCGCATCTCTACCAAAAATACAAAAATTAGCCAGGCATGGTGGCCTGAGCCTGTAATCCTAGCTATTCAGGAGGCTGAGGCAAGAGAATCACTTGAACCCAGGAGGAGGAGGTTGCAATGAGCTGAGCTCGCACCACTGCACTCCAGACTGGGCAACAGAGTGAGACTTCATCTAGAAAATAGATAAAAGTAAAAAAATAAGAGAGGTCTGAGAGAGATCCTTCCACCATGGGAGGGCAATGTGAGAAGATGGCTGTTGATGAGGGCACAGGTTCTCACCAGACACCAAATCCTCACCAGACACCAAGACCAGTACCTTGGTCTTGGACTTTCCAGCCTCCAGAACTGTGACCAATACATTTCAATTGTTTATAAGCCACCCCATTTATGGCATTTTGTTATAGCAGCCCAAATGGACTAAGACACGAAGTCAGTCTGAGCCATCATTTCCCTACATGAGAGTCAGACCATCCTCAGCAGGTGCTGGGGAATTTACTCTGCCCTGAACTGGGCTCCTGCCAAGGCTGAGGATGGGGTTGGGGAGGACCAGGCCTGACCCTGGATCCCCCTCCTCATGTCCCTGCCCTGTGTGGGCCCAGCTCTGGGGTGAGAGCACCTCAGAATGAAAGGCAAGATTCCAAGCCTCCCTGTCACCTGGCTTTAAAACTAGAAAGAAGGACTAGATGGAGGTGAGGCCCCTGGAGGTGGAGGTGTTAGGGTCATCCTGGGGAGGGGACACAGGGAGCCTCAGCTGCTAGAAGCCACAGGGAGCCAAAGAGGCCCCCAGCCTCAGGAGAGGGACCCCAGCTAGGGTGGGAGGCTGGTCATATCTCAGGCAGGCACACACACCTGATGGCCCAGTTTGCAGTGTTTTTTATGCAGCCTAGACAAACACAGAGAGGTCCCTGCTCCCCATTTCCCCAGCTGAGAGGCCAAGAAGGCAGAGGCAGAATTGGAATAGCCTCTGCCTTTGGAACCCATCCCTGCTATAAGTCATAGCAGCATGGCCTCAGCTTCAAACACTCCCCTGTCTCCTGGCTCTCTCCCTGAGCCTCATCCCTGCTCTCGGCATTCCTTGGGTGTCAACCAGGAAGGGCTAAACTGAGTTAATTGACATGTGTTATCTGGACAGGGTCAACAGCCCCCTCGGCTTCTTATCTCCAACTCGTTGAGACCAAGAGAGAAGCAAACAGCAGCTGACAAGTCTCCCAGGAGGGGAGCCAACAGCACGAGACCGTGGGTGGGGAGGCCTGGCTGGGAGACAGAACACCTGGAGCTGAGGTGGGCTCTGCGACTCACCTGGAGGAGCGTGGGTTGGGGGACTATCATCACTGGCTGAACCAATCCAGGGAGGCTTCAGAGAGGAGGCTGCACTCACACTGGGCTGTGAAGAATGTATAGGATTCGGAAGCGTAGCAGGCACGGCAGGCAGGGGACAGAGCTTAAGCAAAGGAAAGGAGGTGTACGAGCCGGAGTGGTTAGATATATGAGCCTCAGATTTCCACATATCGGGGCTCCCATACTGCTGGGTGACCCAGGCTAAGTGGCTCAACTGCTCCATGCCCCAGGTTCCTCGTTTGCAAAAATGGGGATAATAATAGTATCTACCGCGTGGGTTATTAAATGAAATAGCTGCTGAAGACCATAGCATATTATAGGTGCTCAATATATGAATAAATTCTAGTTCCCCTCATTGTTTGGGGAAGAATGCTCAGGAGACAGTAAGAATGGACAATTATTGAAAGACTAGATATGTCGTGTCCACAGTAACAATCCTCCAACCACCCATGTTACAGATGAGGACACTGAGGCACTGAGAAGGAGCATCGTTTGCTCAAGGTGCCCAGGCTGCTAAGCAGGAGCGGATTCCAGGCTCAGGTCTGGCTGCATCTAGCTCTGGTGCTCTTAATGTCTCCTCTATTCGGGGAATTCACAAAGCATGACTCCAAGAAAATGGGGCTGGCTCCTGAGGGTTTCTGGAGCTGGTGGGTGGCAGAGGTGGCGGTGGTGGTCCCTGGCTAGCGAGAGCTATGTCTGGAGTTAAAGAGAAAATGACACCAAAGCAGCAGGGGCACAGAGGGAGGTCACGGTCACTCTCAAATCTTGCTCTTCAGAAAAGGAGGGGTTGGGCATGGTGCCTGTAATCACAGCACTTTGGGAGGCCAAGAAAGGAAGACGGCTTGAGCCCAGGAGTTCAAGACCAGCCTGGGCAACAGAGCAAGACCACATCTCTACAAAAAATGATTTCAAATTAGCCGGGCATGGTGGCACATGACTGTGGTCCCACCTACTCGGGCGGCTGAGGCAGAAGGATCGCTTGAGCCCAGGAGTTCGTGGCTGCAGTGAGTTATGATCATGCCGCTGCACTTCAGCCTGGGTAACAGAGCAAGGCCCTGTCCCTAAAAAACAAAGAAGGAAAAGGAGGAGGCATCTGGCGAAGGGAAGAGCCTGAGCAAAGGAAAAGAGGTGAGAAGTGGCAAGTGGGCCTCCTACAGCACGAGGTGCTGCCTGAGGCCTGGAAAGGGGACGGCACTAGCCCAAGGTCACACAGCCCACATGAGTCAGGAGAGAGGACGTCGCTGGGGGCCAGGATCCAGGTTCTGCCAGGGCCTGTGATGCTGCACGGACCCTGCACTCTCTGAGCTTTGCTTCCCAGCAGAGCTGTGAGGGGTTGGAAAAGGTTCCTGCATGCCACAACCGTGTGGACCTCAGCATGCCCAGCTGGAGTGAGGGCCCCACAAGAGGCAGCATCCAGGAGGACCCAAGGAGAGGGTCTCTCCTGCCCGGAGCCAGCCTTCCCCATAGGAGACACTTTGCTGCCCCCCTGTGGCTCAAAGGAGTGCAACTTTCCATCCCACTTCTAAGAGAGACTTCCCAGAAGTCGGAGGTTCCCAATCCCAGGCACAGAACCTGCCTCTTCTCGTGACCCACAGGTGTGTCCAGACCCACCTACCCTTTCCTACCCTTTCCTCAATATTCCGCCACCCTCCACCCCGACACAGAGAGTTCAGATCCAAGCAATACAGAGTGACCCTGAAAATCAGGGAATCTGGATAGATGGATATGTCAATTGACGGATACACTGATAGATGGACAGACAGAGGGTCTAACGATGGCTAGAGGGATGAATGTATCAATGTATGAATGGATGGATGGATTATAGATGGATGGATGGATGGATATATTGATGGATTGATACACTGATGAATGGACAGTCTAATGACAGAGGATTGATGAATTAATGGATTATAGATGGATGAACGGATTATAGATGAATGGATGGATATGTGGATGGATGGATACACTGATGGATGGAGAGACAGACAGTCTATTGATGGATAGAGAAATGGATGGATGAATGAATGGATGGGTGGATGGATTATAGATGAATGGATGGATATGTGGATGGATGGACACACTGATGGATGGACAGTCAGTCTAATGATGGATAGAGGAATGGATGGATGGACGGATGGATGGAAGGATGAATTATAGATGAATGGATGGATATGTGGATGGATGGATGGATTATAGATGAATAGATGGATATGTGGATGGATAGACAGACAGTCTAATAATGATAGAGGAATTGATGGATGGATGAGTGGATGGCTTGTGAATGAATGCATGGATGGATTATGGATGGATGAATGGATGGATTGATACACTGATGGATGGACAGACACACAGTCTAATAATGGATAGAGGAATGGATGGATGGATAGAGAGATAAAAGATAGATGGGTGGACGGATGGGTGGTCAGGTTGATGGATGGAAACAGAGTGAGACAAGTGATCACATATCCTAGTTATGTGGTCTTGGGCAAGTTATGTAAACTTCCCGAGCCTCAGTTTCTGCATCTGTAAAATGGGGATGGTAATAATGGTTTTTACTTCCTAGTACCTTTGTGAATGTTAAAGAAGACAATGAGTAGAAAGTTCTTAGCAAAGTTTCTGGTATATAACAAGCACTGCATGAAGACTGGTGTTATTTTCCTCTCCTGCCTAGGCCTGAGAAGTGATAGAACATCTCCCTCTCCTTCCTGACCTGGTCAACCTGGGCTGGTCCTCCAGGTAAAGGAAGCCCATTTAAGATCTCATAATGGTTGGATTCCTTTAGAGACTGAGGTTTTCAAGTCTTGGCTTTGTTGCCTAAGATGGGGCTTGGAGTCACTTTATTACAGAAGTGGCAACAGGATTGTGGTGTGTCTCCTGTGAGCTCACTGACATGGAAAGATAGGATCCATAGCATTCGCAAACTCAATTCAGAAAGTGTTTATTGGCCGGAGTTGTCGGAGAGCCAAAAGAAGCAGTCCAGGAGGGCTTCCTTCAGGAGGCAGCCAGCACAGTTGCACAGGGCAGCTTCCACTGCCATCTGCCAGCACTGAGTCCTCCTCATCCAGACACAGGACTGTCCATGGGCCTCTCAGGGGTCTTTGGGGCCAGGATGGGACCCCTCAGACCTGGCCCAGGTGGGTTTTCAAAGCCTGCAGCTCTCGGCTGTTGATGTTGTTGCCTCCACACACGATTACCACAACTGAAGTCAGGGAAGGGGGCAGGCAGCCCTCGGCCTGGAGCCTCCGCAGGAGGCCTGAGTAGATGGCTGCTAAGGCTGCCCCACAGGCAGGCTCCACCAGCATACGCTCATCATCTGCCAGGATCGGGGGATGGAGAGAGGAAGGAAAGGGAAGAAGAACCACTCGGTGCTCAGCAGGCCCTGGGCACGGCAGATCCTTGCAGCCATCTCTCCAGCCAGTCAGCCATTCATCTGCTCTGCTGGCAATCCATCACTTGTCTCACGCTCTCCCCATCCATCAGCCTGGCCTCCTATCCTTCCACCATCCACCTTTTATCTCTCTATCCATCCATCCATTCCTCTATCCATCATTAGACTATCTATCTGTCCATCCATCAGTGTACCCATCCATCAACATATCCATCCATCCACCCATTCATAGCCATCCATCCATTCCTCTATCCATCATTTGACTGTCTGTCCATCCATCAACATGTTCATTAATCAATGTGTCTGTCCATTCATTCATTTCTATACCATTCATCAATCCGTCACTTCATTATCCATCCATCCGTCCATCCATCCACTGTCCATCTATCCATTACCCACCTTTCCACTCACTCATATATTCATCCCTTCAATCAACAAACATCTATTGAGTGCCTACTACCTGCCATGCCCTATGCCAGGAAGGCCCTAGGGACACGTCAGGGACTAAGACACACCAGCCCTCATGGGGCTCACATCAGTGATGTAGAGGGATAAGAACCAGGAGGTTATGAACACAGGGAGTGGTGCATTGGAGGTCCACAACCCAGGCAGCGTGGGGTGAGTGATCAAGGGAGGCTTCCTGAAGGAGGTGCTATGATGGCTGATAGCCCTCAGTCACATCAAACCAATAGGGAGCAGGGCCAGCCAGAGAGAGGAGCAGCATGTATGAAAGTCTGGGGGCTAGAGACAGCAAGATACACTCCTTCTTTATCCTCACCCCCTTCCATCTACTCGACGTGCACTTAGTGCACAGTAACTGCACACCTAGCCAGTGCCTGGTGCTGAGGATACAGATAAGACAGAACACACTCTTGCTAGAGGATGCAGGGACTTCGTGGGTCTCTGAGCCCAGGTGGAGGACAGGGATCACTCACCCAGGAGCTGCTGCACAGCGCTCACAGCCTCGGTGTCCTCCACCACTTCAGAGTGAATCTTGCACACCTGCATGCACTCCAGGGCCCGAGCGGCCACCGTCTTGGCACCCAGGCTCTTGGCCACACTGCAGGATAGAGCAGGGTGGGGCAGGGAGACCAGGGGCTCAGGGAAGAGCTGGTGAAACAGGTCTCTCCCCAGCCCCAGCCACCCCCTCCCATCCTGCCATGGGCTGGTTGGAGCTCAGCATTATAAGTCACAGAGGAGGTGCTCAAAAATAGTGTGTCCTTGCCGGGCGCAGTGGCTCACGCCTGTAATCCCAGCACTTTGGGAGGCCAAGGTGGGCAGATCACCTGAGGTCGGGGAGTTCAAGACCAGCCTGACCAACATGGTGAAACCCCGTCTCTACTAAAAATACAAAATTATCCGGGTGTGGTGGTGCATGCCTGTAATCCCAACTACTTGGGAGGCTAAGGCAGGAGAATCACTTGAACCCAGCAGGTAGAGGTTGCAGTGAGCTGAGATCGCGCCATTGCACTCTAGCCTGGGAAACAGAGTGAGATTCCATCTCAAAAAAAAAAAAATGCTCATCCACCAAGAACCTCAAAATGTGATCTTACTCGGAAATAGAGTCTTTGCAGATGTAATTAGTTAAATTAAGGTGAAATCATACTGGATTAGGGTGGGTCCTAAATTCAGTGATCATGTTCTTTTTAAAATTTATTGGCTTTTGGGGGGTTTGGGGGAGGACAGGGTCTTGCTAAGTTTCCCAGGCTGGAGCACGATGGCTATTCACAGGGACGATCATAGCACACAATAGCCTCAAACTCCTGGGCTCAAGCAAACCTTCCGTTTCAGCCTCCCAAGTAGCTAGGACTACAGGCGTGCGCTACCATGCCCAGGTAATTTTTGTATTTTTTTAGTAGAGACAGGGTTTCACTATATGTTGGCCAGGCCGGTCTCAAACTCCTGACCTCAAGTGATCCACCTGCTTCAGCCTCCCAAAATGCTGGGATTACAAGCATGAGCCATGGTGCCTGGCCTACATTTTCAAACTTATTTGCAACACACATGGATTGCTTTTGTAATGATAAGTCAATGAAAGCTTGTTTTAAGAACTGATTAGGTTTACATGAATCATATTCCTCATCTCCTTTTTCAGCACTGCCTTCTAACTCAGGTCCACTTTACTGTGGTTGGAGTCCCAGGACCAAGGACAGCCTTTTGGGTGCCCCCGTCTCCACCGGCTGGGACTGGAAGGCCCTAGGACAGTGGCACACCCACCCTCCAGCCCCTACAAATGTCCCCAGCCCTTACCCACCTGGTGATGTCTGGAAGTGTGACCAGCTTGCCGGCTGTGATGGCCGCATTGAAGCAGTGTGCCCCATGGGTCTCCATGGCAATGATGGGTACATGCTGCCAGCCCACCTCCAGCAGGCCAGCCACCACCCCGGCCAGGAGACCCCCACCCCCAACTGCCAGCACCAGGGCACCTGGTGGGGTCCTCAGCACTGCTTTCAGCTCCTGCACCAGGCTGGCGTGGCCTTTCCTGGGGAGGGGGGGTGAGAGGGAGAAGCAGAGTGAGGGAGGACCCCAGCCCAGATGGCTCCTGTGGTGGGGGAATTTACCAGGGGTGGGTTCTCTGCCCCCTCATATACATAAACCCCTCCCCACCATCCCCATCCCATCCACGGTGAGGGGAGAGGAAGTCCTGCAACAGTTACTTCACTCAGCTTCATTCATTCTCTTTATTTTTATTTTTTTGGATAGAGTCTCACTCTGTCACCCAGGCTGGAGTGCAGTGGCACGATCTCAGTTCACTACAACCTCCACTTCCTGGATTCAAGCGATTCTCCTGCCTCAGCCTCCCGAGTAGCTGGGACTAAAGGTGCGCACCACCACGCCCAGCTAATTTTTGTATTTTTAGTAGAGATAGGGTTTTGCCATGTTGGCCAGGTTGGCCTCGAACTCCTGACCTCAGGTGATCCACCCGCCTCGGCCTCCCAAAGTGCTGGGATTACAGGCGTGAGCCACCGCGCCTGGCCTCATTCATTTTCTTTATTATGTATTTGTTTGCTCATCCCTTCCCATCTCCATCAACCTCCCAGGCCCTTTCTTGGACATTATCCCAATTTAGCCCCCTCCCCAACTTTGCAAAGAGGCAATGGCAATGTGTGGTTAAGAGGGGACAAGTGTATCACTTGGGACCAGCCTGACTGCAGCCCTTTGTATCTGCCATGTACTTAGCTGTGTGATCCGGGGCAAGTTGTTTGACCTCGATGTGCCTCAGTTTCCTCACCTATGAAATGGGGATAATAGCACCCACCTCTAGGGCTTTGGGGAGGGTAAATAGAACAGTGCAGGAGGAGCCATTAGCCTGGTGCCTGGTCCCAAAGCACATATTCAGTAAAGGAGACTTGGTACTATCACTTCCATTTTACACACATAGAAACTGAGGCACAGGATCTGGGGTGCTTTGCACAAAGTCCCACAATTCACAAGGGGGCAGAAGTGGGATCTGAACCCATGTCTGCCTGGCTTTGAAGCCTCTTCTCCCCTCTGGGCCTCAGTTTCTCCTTCTGCCCAATGGGAGGACCCTGACTCAGTGAAGGTCTCCCAGCTCTGGACTCCTGGGGAGAGGGGCGTCAGCCTTACCATATTAGGGGGTGGTCAAACGGGGGGACATTCTCCCAGCCGTCCCTCTTGGCCAACTCTTGCGCCCTCAGATTGGCCTCGTCCCAGACCTACAGAGAAACCAAGGGCCCTCAGAACAGCCGGGAGTGGGACTGCTATGGAGGCCGGAGCAGAGGCCCAGGATCTCCTTGGTGGCCCCAGGATCTAGTAGTCTGGGGACAGCCCTGCAGATGAGACCATACCTGGTGTGGGCCCAGAGGCCTCCTGAGAATTGGACAAGCACTTCCAGGCGGACAAACAGATGCCATGTGCTTTCCACAATACCCAAGCGACCTGTCCTACTGCCACACTATGAAAACCAGGCCAGGCCAGCCAGGGAGGCTGGGAGCGGGTCAGCTCCAAGGTCAGCCACATGGTGCCCACTTCTAGCCAACCAGTAGGGGAGAAGCCCCCTAAAGTCAAACACCAGATAGCAACTTGGTCACCATAGAGTGTGTCCGTGGAAACCAGCAATGGCCCAGCTGATGGCCTGCTAGTTGAGTTCAAGCAGCCAGAGAGATGGCACATAGGGCCGGCCCTGACCATGATGGACCCAAGGCAACCACAGCAGGGGTGAGTTTTCTCTTCTCACTGGCTTGGCCTCTGTGGCAGAGATCCAGGTCCCCTGCTCATTCACACACCATTGACAGGCTTTCTTCCCTTCCCTGACTCATTTCTACACTCCCTACCAATGCTTCCTGCAATCACCTCCCAAATAAACCACATGCACCCCAGTCCTCATTTCAGGGACCGCTTTTGGGAGAATCCAAACTAAGACAGCATTTCAGAGGGACCCCATGCCAGCCGATCTCAGCAGGAACCAGATACAGAAACTAAATGGTAGACAATGGCCTCCTCTCCCAAGGGAGGGATGGAGGGTCACAAGGGGGGCAGAACTAGCCCCTGCTCATCCTCAGGGACTCTGCAGTGCCCACTCTGTGCCCAGTTCTAGGTATGGGGACTCTTCAGCAGGAGAGAAGCCAAGAAATGGTCTCTGACTGCAAGGAATTTCCCATCTGGCTGAAGAGAAGAGTCTCATTCCCCTGAGTTACTGAAACAAAAAATACACTGTTGGTGTGAATGCAAATGAGTTCAGCTCCAATAGGAAGCAGTTTGGAGATTTCTCAAAGAACTAAAAATAGAATTACCATTTGACCCAGCAATCCCATTACTGAGTATCTACCCAAAGGAAAATAAACCATTTTACCAAAAAGATCTGCATTTGTGTGTTCATCACAGCAGTACTCACAATAGCAAAGACATGGAATCAACCCAGGTGCCCATCAATGGTGGATTGGATACAGAAAATGTGGTGCATATACATCATGGAACACTACGCAGCCACAAAAAAAGATCATGTCCTTTGCAGCAACATGGATGCAGCTGGAGGCAATTATTCTAAGATAATTAACTTAGGAACAGAAAACCAAATACTGCATATTCTCACTTACAACTGGGAGTTAAACACTGGGTATAAACATGGGCACAAAGATGGGAACGAGAGACACTGGGGACTCCAAAAGTGGGGAGAGAGAGAGAGTGGCAGAGGTTGAAAAATACCTGTCAGCTGGGCGCAGTGGCTCACGCCTGTAATCCCAGCACTTTGAGAGGCCGAGGCAGGCAGATCCTGAGGTCAGGAGATCCAGACCATCCTGGCCAACATGGTGAAACCCCGTCTCTACTAAAATACAAAAAAATAGCCGGGTGTGGTGGCGTGCACCTGTAATCCCAGCTACTCAGGAGGCTGAGGCAGCGGAATCGCTTGAACCCGGACAGTGGAGGTTGCAGTGAGCCAAGATGGCGCCACTGCGCTCCAGCTTGGCAACAGAGCAAGACTGTCTCAAAAAAAAGAAAGAAAGAGAGAGACAGAGACAGAGAGAGAGAGAGACAGAGAGACAGAAAGAGAGAGAGAGAAAGAAAGAAAGAAAGAAAGAAAGAAAGAAAGAAAGAAAGAAAGAAAGAAAGAAAGAAAGAAAGAAAGAAAGAAAGAAAGAAGCAAACAAACAAACCTGTCAGCCAGGCACAGTGGTTCACACCTGTAATCCTAGCATTTTGGGAGGCTGAGACAGGAAGATTACCTGAGGTCAGGAGTTCGAGACCAGCCTGGCCAACATGGTGAAACCCTGTCTCTACTAAAAATACAAAAATTAGGCTGGGCGCAGCAGTTTACGCCTGTAATCCCAGCACTTTGGGAGGCCAAGTCAGGTGGATCACGAGGTCAGGAGTTCGAGACCATCCTGGCTAACATGGTGAAATCCTGTCTCTACTAAAAATACAAAAAAAAAAAAAAAAATAGCCAGGCGTGGTGGCTGTAGTAGCTGGCCTGTAGTCCCAGCTACTCGGGAGGCTGAGGCAGGAGAACGGTGTGAACCCGGGAGGCAGACCTTGCAGTGAGCCGAGATTGTACCACTGCACTCCAGCCTGGGCAACAGAGCGAGACTCGTCTCAAAAAAAAAAAAAAAAATTAGCTGGGTGTGGTGGTGGGTGCCTGTAATCCCAGCTACTTGGGAGGCCAAGGCAGGAGAATTGCTTGAACTTGGGAGGCGGAGGTTGCAGTGAGCCAAGATCATGCCACTGCACTCCAGCCTGGGCGACAGAATAAGACTCTGTCTCAAAAAAAAAAAAAACAACTACCTGTTGGTACTATGTTCACTACTTGGACAATAGAATCATTAGAAGCCCAAACCTCTCCATCATGAAATATACCCATGTAACAAACCTGCACATGTATCCCTGAATCTGAAATTAAAACTAAAGAAAAAAATAGATTCAAAACCGTGTAGTGCTTGACATCTCTCACCTGTAGGGCCCCAAGCAGCCTCCTCTCTGGCTCCTCTCCTGCATTGCCCCAGAGCAGGCAGAGTGAAAATCCAACCAGGTCCCTCCCCTGCTCAAACTCCTTTCATGCTTCCCTAGTGCTCTCAGGTGGAAACACATTAGCTTCACCTACAAGCCACCCTGCCTGATGGAGCAACTCTGCCCCTCTTCAGCCTCACCTTTCACCATCCCTCCCTGACGCTGGGCTCAGCCTGAATGCACCGTGCTCATCCACGCCACACCTTCACCCACAGCTTTTCCTCTGTTCACAATCAGATCATTCCCTCCCTTTTCTCCACTGTGGGGACTCAGATTTCTCCTTCAATACCCAACCCTGGGGACCCTTGTTGGGAGCCTGTCCTGGATCCTTTCCCCAAATCTAAGGCACAGCCCATTGGTTTGACCACTGCCCAATTCTCCACTGCCTCCCTCTGTTAGAATCATACACCTACACCTTGCCATGTGGCTTAATAGTTACTATTTTTAGAGACATGCTCTTACTATGTTGCCCAGGCTGGCCTCAAACTCCTGGGCTCAAGTGATCCTCCCAACTCAGCCTCCTGAGTAGCTGAGACTACAGGTGCACACCACAGTGCCCAGGTTTTTTATCTATTTATTTATTTATTTTATTTTTGCCATGTGGCTTTGCTGTTCTTCTCACTAGAGTGGGTGGAGCACATGTCCCCTCCCCATTGATGTTGGTCTCAGCTGTGTGACTTGCTCTGGCCAACAGCATATGGCAGAACTGACAGTGTAACAGTTCTGGGCTGAGGTCTTAAGAGCCGTCATGCGTTTCTTCTCACCCCTCTTGCCATTGCCCTTGAGAAGAACGTGCCCCCAGTGGCCACTGGCTGGGGAAGACACAGGGGACATCTGCAGACCTTAATCCTTCCCCACATTCCAAAGCAGAACCACCCTAACCCTCCCACAGACCCAAAGCATCGGAAACAAATGTTTCTTATAAGCTGCTGCTATTTGGGGGCTGTTTGTTATGCAGCATTACCAAGCAACAATAGCTGATTAAAACAACACACCTTCTCTCTGACTTCCTTGGTGCCCTGTGCTTCCCCCGTGGCAACACTTTTCACACTTTGTTACCATCATCTGGTTACCTGTGTGTCTCCTCATAATAATCTCAAATTTATGAGTGTAAAGACCATGTCTTACTATCTCTGTGTTTCTAGAATGTCTAACATAGCAGGTACTGAATATGTGCTCAATCAATATCTGATGGATGGATGGATGGGTGGATGGATGGATGGATGGATGGAAAGAAGGGAGAGAGGAGAGAGAAAGGGTGATGTGTGGAAGGATGGTTAGATGGATGAATAAATGGAAGGAAGGAAGGAGAAAAGAAGGAAGGAAGGAGAGAAAGAATGAAGAAAGGAAGGAGGGAGGGAAGGAGGGAGGGAGGGAGGGAAGAGGGAAGGAGGGAAATAATGAAGGAAGGAAAGAAGAAGAGAGGGAGGGAAGGAAGGACAGAAGAAAGGGAAGAAACTATATACAGGAAGTATTTGGGACCAGCTTTAACGTACCATAGTTTGGCTTTTAGTTTTAATTTCGAGAGGTTTAAAAATCTGTTTTCCATTATTTGAATGATTTTTTCCTTCTTCACAGAAGGAAAGACAGATTTTGTATCTGTGTCTCTATTTCTTTGGTAACAAAGGGAACCGGTGATATCTTTCTCAGTGGATACCATTTCTATTGGGGTGGTCTCAGAATGAGAACTAATGCTGCCATCATCTTGATACTTCTTGTCTTATCTAACAGCAAAAATGTTAAAAGTAGATAATACCAGGTGCTGGTGAGGATATAAGGAGACAGACAGTCTCCTGTTCATCGTCAGCTTCCCATTTGTCTTGGTTCACACATGAGGGGTACTTCTCAGGGTGGGCAGAGGAAAGTTGGGAGATCCCAGCCCTCAACACCCATCCCACCTCATTCCCCCCTCAGCTCAGCTATCCTGAGAGAGGACTGGGTCCCAGCCACAGCTCATCGAAAGGAAAAGGAGACAGGATGTCTTAGGGGTGGGGTGAGGTGAAGGAGAGCAGCCCACCCAGATGGTTCTCCCCTTCCCAGAGCCCTTACCTTTCCAGTCAGCTGAACCTCGGCCCCCTCCCCCTGCAGCCTCTGCACCACCTGCAGGGAGGTGCTCTCGGGGAGCACGATGGTGGCAGGAATGCCCAGCTTCCTAGCAGCATAGGCAGCAGCGATGCCCGCATTACCCCCTGTGCAGAAAGGAGGAAAGGGGCAGTGGGCAGAGCTGATTGGCCTTTGATATGCCTTCCCCTCCCCCTCCATATCCCTTCAGAGTCACTCGTCCCCAACATTCATATGCCCCATTGACTCCTTCCTCCACTCAAGAGGGGGACACATAATTTAGGTTGAGCCAATCAGAACCTAATCCCCCAACCCATGATTGGTTCAAGGATGAAGACGCCACCCAAGCGGGGCCAAAAAAAAAAAACAATTCCAGGATTGAGGCGAGGCATCGAGAAGGGGTGCTCCCTTTTCCCTAGGGTTGGGAGGCTGGTAGGATGCAAGGCTGGAATTCCTGGTGGCCATCTTGCTACCATGAGGCCCACCTAAAAATAAAGCTAATATGCAGGAAAGCAAAGTCCAGAGAAGGAGAGACAGAGAGGAGAGCTCCTGGATCCCCCTGTGCCTGAAAGCCACTTATCCCAAGAATTTTCCATTCTTAGAGCCTGTAGCTTAAACCTATATGAATTGGGTTTCTGGCACTTGCTACCATCATGAGTCCTGAACTATGGGAGAAGGCTAGGATGGGATGTACACAGTAGTCATCTCATCAATGACCTTGATGAGGCTGGGCCTTTAAGAGGAGACCAACCCTGGATGTGTACTGCCGCTCCAGCCTATTCCTCCTCCCCCAACCTCTGCCCATGAAACAAAAAAAGGTGGGGTCACCTGAGGAGCACACCAGGTGTCTGCATCCCTTCTTGGCCATCTGGGAAGAGAAGGAATGGGGTTAGCGGCTAACCCAAGCAGGTGTCATGAAGGCCTATGTGGAATGGCGTTAGAGTCTCCCCATCCCACTCCCAATACGCCTTTACCCCTCATCCTGCCCACAGCCCTGCCCTTACCTTTCCCCTCCCATCTGCACGAGTTCATGTTTCCCCTCCTGCCCGAACCCGTCCCCAGCCCACACCCCTCACTCTTCCCTCCCTCCTGCACAACCTCACTTCTCCCCTCCTTCCCACACACCCTCACCTCCTGGCAGAAATGCCCAATGCCCCGAATCTTGAAGGAGCCGCTGGGCTGCACATTCTCACACTTGAGGAAGACAGGCATGCCCGCCACCTGGGACAGCGCCCAGCTCTCCAACAGAGGTGTGACCACGTGAAAGGGCTCCTGCTTGGCATGCTCTGCCACAGGGCCGTCCATTCTGGAGACCAGGTAGACAGCCTGCAGGAGGACACAAAGTCACCACCCAGGCAGTCCCCATCAAGAGTTCCCTTAACCAGGACAGGGAGGGGAAGGTGGAGAAAGCCCTTGGCTTAGGTGCCCTTCACTTCATCCAGCTGCTGAGCTGTGAGACCCCCATCAAGTATCTGTGACTCTCTGGGCCTCAGTTTCCCCATCTGGTCAAAGAAGTTTGGCCTGGGGTCCTTTCATTCCATAAGTGTGGCTGTGCTGGGGATGTAGAAAGTGGCCAATATATGGTGAGAAATGAATGAGAGAGTGGGAGAATTCATTCCTCAGTCAAAAAATACTTATTCAGCACCTACTATGTGCCAGGCATTTCCAGGTTTGGGGACCCACGAGTCATAAAAAACCTCCCACTAGGAAAAGTCACAGAATTTCAAATAGGAGTGACTTGCAGAGGGTATGGGGTGTTATTTTAGCAAAAGCAATCATGAAAGACATCTCTCAGGAGGAAAACTTTGTAAAAACGTTTGTTATGGAAAATGTAAACATAGCAAAAGTATTGAGAACTGTATAAAGACCTTCAGCTGGCAGGGGCACAGCGGCTCACGCCTGTAATCCCAGCATTTTGGGAGGCCAAGGCAGGCAGATCACTTGAGGTCAGGAGTTCGAGACCAGCCTGGCCAACAAGGTAAAACCCTGTCTCTACTAAAAATACAAAAATTAGCCAGGCATGATGGTACACACACTTGTAATTCCAGCTACTCAGAAGGCTGAGGCAGGAGAATCACTTGAACCTGGGAGGCGGAGGTTGCAGTGAGCCAAGGTTGTGCCACTGCACTCCAGCCTGGGTGACAGATCGAGACTCCGTCTCAAAAACAAACAAACAAACAAAAACCCTTCAGCTTCAGCAATCAACTCATGGTCTAACTCGCTCCCCTATCGGTGCCCACTCCCCCTTCCTGTGTCATTATTTACCCCTTAATTACTATTATTCTTTTATATTATTTCACCTGTAAATATTTCAGCATGTCTCTCTGGAGGTAAAGAACTTGTGTTTTTGAGACAGAGTCTCACTCTGTCACCCAGGCTGGAGTGCAGTACTGTAATCACAGCTCTCTGCAGCCTCGACCTCTCAGGCTCAAGCAGTCCTCCCACCTCAGCCTCCTGAGTAGCTGGGACTACAGGCACACATCACCACGTCTGGCTAATTTTTGTACTTTTTTGTAGAGATAGGGTCTCACTATGTTGCCCAGGCTGGTCTCAAACTCCTAGGCTCAAGGGATCCTCCTGCCCCAGCCTCCCAAACTGCTGGGATTACAGGCGCGAGTCACTGCATCTGGCCTAAGAACTCCTTTTTTATATGTAACCATATGGTTTCATGACTGTACATACATTTGTTCAAACACATTGAATTCTATACTTAAAGTGGGCTAATTTTATTTTATGTAAATTATACCTCACTGAGGCTAATTTTTTTAAAAATGTAATCACAATACTATGATCACATCTAAAAATATAATTTTTTCATATCATCAAATATCTGTTAATTGTTCACATTTCAAATCATCCCATTAAATATGATCAGTGGCTGATTCTGTGGTTGGTTGTGGTTTGGGGTTTTTCACGGTTTGAATCAGGATGCAAATCAGATCCGTGCATTTTGATTGGCTGAGGGGTCTTTTAACTCTGCCTCCATCTGTACGTTCTTGAAAGGGGAACTTTGAAATGGATGACAGGAAGAGAGCCAAGAGGAAAAGTTCCTACAGAGAACAGCAGCCAGGACCACCTCGAGGGAGAAATGCACTTTGGGGTGCCGCGGATGCAGACAGAAGGGGTTTGGGGCAGGAGGTGAGGGTAGGGGGTGAGGGCGGAGATGTGGACAAGGGTGCCAGCAGGGGGTTCCCGCCCACGGAGAGGAGTTTGGTTGTTATTCAAATTCTACCTGCAATGGAAAGCCATTGGGAGGTGGTGGTGGAGGTGGTGGTGGTGTTGGTGGTGGTCGTGGTGTTTTGAAAGGGAGTCTCGCTCTTGCCCAGGCTGGAGTGCAGTGGTGCAATCTCTGCTCACTGCACCCTCTGCCTCCCGGGTTCAAGCGATTCTCCTGCCTCAGCCTCCCGAGTAACTGGGACCACAGGCACACGTCACCACGCCTGATTAATTTTTTGTATTTTTTGTAGAGACGGGGTTTCACCATGTTGGCTGGTCTCAAACTCCTGAGCTCAAGTGATCTGCCCACCTCGGCCTCCCGAAGTGCTGGGACTACATCCGTGAGCCACCGCGCTCAGCCCTTTGAGAGGTTTGAAGCCGAGGAGCTGTGTGTGAATGGACCAGTGGGTAAGGACGAAAAGAAGAGATGGAGGAAATGAGAGGGAGGAAAAATAGTAGAGAAAAAAAAAGGAAAAAATACAGCCAGCTCCTCTTGTCCCAGGCAGAAAAGCACTGGGCCGGTCCCCACCATTCCATTATTGGCCGCTAGGGGGGGCGCTGCAACTTCCCCTGCCCACTCACAAACCTAACCTTCTTGTCCACCCTTAAGTCATGGCTGGGGTTCCAAGATCAGAGAGATCAGGGTCTCTTGGCCCTGAGTTTGACCCCACGCCCTTGTCAGAATAGCCTTGAGAATCCTCAGGGCCCCCTCGGGCAGGGCACAGCCTGAGCCACCTCTTCCCAGTCCCACCCAGGGCACCTCTCAGCTTCGGGCATCAGGGGAAAGAAGCCCATGGGTCATCACTGATCCCCAAATGCCGCATACCCCAGCCTAGGCCTCAGCTCAACCCTGGACCCCAAGAGCACAGGCTTTGGGGTCGACCAGAAGCAAAAGTTAGAAACCAGCTCCGACTTCCTGGCTGTGTGACCCAAACAAGTGTCACAACCTCTCTGTGCCTGTTTCCCCTTCTCTAAAATGGGGATAAAAACAGTCCCCAACTCACAGGTTGTGGTGTAAGTTAATAAGAATAACATTGGCCAGGTGCAGTGGCTCATGCCTATAATCCCAGCACTTTGGGAGGCTGAGGCGGGTGGATCCCTTGAGGTCAGGAGTTCAAGACCAGCGTGGCCAACATGGTGAAACCCCGTCTCTACTAAAAATACAAAAATTAGCCGGGTGTGGTGGTGCACACCTGTAGTCCCAGCTACTTGGGAGGCTGAGGTGGGAGAATTGCTTGAACCTGGGAGGTGGAGATTGCAGTGAGCCAAGATCTCACCACTGTTCTCCAGCCTGGGCAACAGAGTGAGACTGTCTTTAAAAAAAAAAAAAGAGAGAGAGAGAGAATAACATCTGTCATTTGTTGAGTCCCTATTATGTGCCAGTCATCAGCTGAGTCCTCTGGAGACGTTATCTCACTGATACCTTGTGTCATGCTTTGAGCATGGTGACCTGCTTACCCTTACTTTAGCATGTTTACAGGGCACCTACAAGATGCAGGCCCTGACCTAGCAACAGGGGATACCACTGTGGACAAGATAGACATCAACCTTGGAGCTGAATTATAGCCTGATGAGATGGGCACTTAACAAATAACTGCATAGACAAACAAAATAATCAGAAATGTTGAAAACTTCTAAGAGGGAAACACGCATATAGGGAGTCCTAAAGAGAAGAACAAGGGGACCTACTTTGGGTATGGAGGTCAGGAAAGACCTCTTAGAGGAAGTGACCATTAAAACTAAGAACTGAGACAGGGCGCGGTGGCTCATGCCTGTAATCCCAGCACTTTGTGAGGCAGAGGCAGGCGGATCACCTGAGGTCAAGAGTTCAAGACCAGTCTGGCCAACATGGAGAAACCCCGTCTCTACTAAAAATACAAAATTAGCCGGGCATGGTGGCGCATGCCTGTAATCCCAGCTACTCGGGAGGCTGAGGCAGGAGAATTGCTTGAACCTGAGAGGCGAGGTTGCGGTGAGGCGAGGTTGCAGTGAGCCGAGATCGCGCCATTGCACTCCAGCCTAGAGAGTAAGAGGGAAACTCTGTCTCAAAAAAAATAATAAAAAATTAAAAATTAGACCCGAAAAATGAGAACCAACCAACCACACAACAAACTGCAAGAAGAGCGTGTACATGGCAGGACTATTGTGAGGATTCAATGAGCCTGCATGGTAAGGGCACCCATGTTGGGTGTCTGTCCACTTGGAATTGGGTCTCTCTTCCTTTTTGGTGAAATCCCCAGATTTTTCCCCTGGGGATCCTGGGATTGTCAGGATGAACTCCCCCTACTCCATAATCCTTCCGCTTTCTTGTTTTTTTGGTGTTTGTTTTAGAGACAAGGTCTCACTCTGTTGCCTGGGCTGGAGTGCAGTGGCACGATCATGGCTCACTGTAACCTTGAAGTCCCGGGCTCAAGCAATCCTCCCACCTCAGCTTCCTGAGTAGCTGGAACTGTAGACATGCACCACTGTATCCGGCTGATATTTTAATTTTTATAGAGATGCAGTTTTGCTGAGTTGTCCAGGCTGGTCTTGAACTCCTGGCCTCAGGTAAATCTCTTGTCTCTGCCTCTCAAAACACTAGGATAACAGGTGTGAGCCACCTGTTGGCTCACAACAGATGAGTCATTAACTCACCATTGACTCCATTTTATAAACAGTGAACCTGAGGTCCAGAGAGATTAAGTAACTTATCCAAGTTCACACAGTTAGAAACAGCATAGCCAGAATTCACACCAGGCAGTGTCTTTGGCATCTGTGCTATTAACCGCGATGCTATACTTTCTCTAATATACTAGTGTTATCGTTACTATTATGAAAGCTGCATGCATTTAATATTTATTGCCAATTGTCCTTTGGAACCAAATGCTCCTGGCTCAGTTTCCAGGCTTCCCCAGCCCTCTTGGTTATACTGACTCACAAGAGGACAGCAGGCATCAGTTAAATGAAAAAGCCCCAAGTTGCCAACAGCCTTATCAACCCCAGACCCCATCAGGCACCTGAGGTCTGGGACTGAGCTGTCTTGGCCCAGGGACACACACCTCTTGTCCCGTATGGCAGCCACCAGGGCTGAAATGGGGGACCTGGGTCTCCCTGCTGTGGAATAACCCAGGGGAAAGCAGGGGGCTCAGGCTCAGGTCCCAGTCATGCCAACCTTGGCCAAGTCACTTTTGTCACTGGGCCTTACCTGTCACATCTATGAGTTGAGGTAAGGACCACCAGTGCTGTCCACCTCACTTGTCCCCAAAGCCTTTCCCCAGAGGCCACCTTGGTGGCACTCCACAGCCAAATCCCTGGTGCCAGGGCTGGGACACCTCGGGCTGGCCCCTTGGCTGGCAGAATGCCCAACCCTGCCCCTCTGGCAGGCAGAACCCACTCTCGCCCTTCAGGGTCCCCAGCACAACACTTTCTTCTGCAGGGCACCCTGAATTCAATCGACATTCCCAGGAGGGCCTAGAACACGCTCAGGCCCTCTCACTCCCACCTGCTCAGCTTGGACTTTGCCCAAAGCCTCCCAAACTCCTGCAGCCTCTCATCAGCCTCTCATTCACACACACACTGAGCCCCAGGGGCCCCAGCTGGCCCCAGACCCCTTACCTCCCTGCCCAACTATCCCAGACCAGCGTGGCCCCAGCTCCTGCCCTCCAGCCTGCCAGGGAACCAGCTCTTTCCAGGAACCGGCTCTGTCCAGCTTCAGGCAGCTTCCGGCAACCTTGGTCCCTCCTCCTTTGTTAAAGAGAAAGCTCCAGACCCTAAGCCTCCGGGTGAAGACGGAGGAGGAGAGGGGATGAGAGCAACCCTCACCGCTTTCCCGGGCACTGCCTATGACTCATGCACCACCCTGTCTCATTTGACAGATGAGCAAACTGAAACTCAGAAAAGGGAACTTATTTGGCCAAAGCTTCCCAGACAGCAAGGGGCAGAGACAGCCTTTACCCCTGGCCCTGGGCCATCTCTTCCGGGATGCAGGCATCTCCATGTCTTCTCATTTTAGGTCTAGTGATTGTCCCGGATGCTGAACCACTGTTGGGGTCAGCTTAGGTCTGGGATGGGAAAACAAGGACAAGGGAACTTTTTTTTTTTGAGACACAGTTTCATTCTTGTCCCCCAGGCTGGAGTGCAATGGTGCGATCTCGGCTCACTGTTACCTCCGCCTCCTGGATTCAAGCGATTCTCCCACTTCAGCCTCCCAAGTAGCCAGGTTTACAGGCACCCACCACCACGCCAGCTAATTTTTGTATTTTTAGTAGGGACAGGGTTTGACCATGTTGGCCAGGCCAGTCTCGAACTCCTGTCCTCAGGTGATCTGCTTGCCTCTGCCTCCCAAAGTGCTGGGATTACAGGCGTGAGCCACTGCACCTGGCCAAGGAAACAATTATTATAATTATTATTTGTGACATGGGAAAGGTATATTTTTGTCTGAAGCACCTCTCCGTCTCGGATATTTTACACGCAGCATGAGAACCCAAGCAATTATTTGCTACTCAGATGAATGACTGACCATTCATTCATTCATTAAATGTTTATTGGACACCTACTATGTGCCAATCCCTGGAACTTTGGCCTCAAACAAAATAGCATGTCCTCTGCCTTCACAAAGCCCTTAGAGAGGGCCATTAGAGAGCACTTATTAGTGCTATCAGATGTTAGCAGCTGGCAGGGTGGGGCAGGGCTGTGGAACCCAGAGCAGGCACCCCGCCTGGCCCTGGGGGGCTGGGGAGGCTTCCTGGAGGAGGGGAAGTCTGAGTGGAGCCAGGAGTCAGGCACAGGGAGTGCAAAGGTCTGGAAATGAAAAACATGATATATTCCAGGGTCAGGGTAGTATCCAGTGGGGCTGGGAGGGAGAAGGCAGGGGTGGGGAAGCAAGTGGGGTTGAGGCTGGAGATGTGGGCAGAGATCAGAGTCCACAGGGATGCCTGTACCAATCCAGAGTTTGGACCTTACCCAGGGGCACTAGGGAGCCACAGAAGGCTTTAGGTGGGGGGAATGACATGGTCAAATTCATGTCTTGTCTCTGCACCATCTCACTGGGTGAACCTGAGCAGCTCGTGCCCATCTCTGGGCCTCAGTTTCCCTATGTGGAAAGTGGGAACAGGAAGACCTGGCATCACAGATGTTGTGTGTCCTTCTTGGGCTGTTTCTGATCTCCCCAGGTTTGATGATTAACTCCCAGCCACTTGGGGTTAGATGGAGCTGCTTGGCCGTGATCCTTAATGTGGACTCTGGCAAGTTTCTACCCATCCTCGCTTTAGACACACATCCATCCTTGTTGGGTGCCTTGTCCTGGACTGGGTACTGGGGACACAGAGGTGATAAAATCCAGTTTGTGCCTTGAAGTGGCCCCCAGCATGGAGGGGAGAGGAAGACACCCAATTCGGTAGCAACAATAACACTTCCTAAGATGACAGAGGGCAGAAAGTCCCCATAGGGTAGCTGGGGATGGGGCAAGATCAGGGAGGGCTTCTTGAAGTAGGCAGAGACTCAGCACACAGCTCAGACTTTGACAAGAAGCAGACTAGCTGCATTTAGTGCATGTCTACTGTACACCAACACGTGCATGCTGTCCAGCGTAACCCACACTGTTTATTTGTTTGTTTGTTTGTTTGTTTGTTTGTTTTACAAACGAGGTCTCACTGTGCTGCCCAGGCTGATCTTGAACTCCTGACCTCAAGCAATCCTCCTACCTTAGCCTCCCAAAATGCTCGGATTACAGGCAACAGCCACTGCGCCCAGCCCCCAAAGGTTTTTTAATAGTTGGCAATCTATTTCTGTGTGCATTAGGAAAGATGTGTGTATGTATGTAGGTATATATATATGTGTATACATATGTATGTGTATGTACATATAAAATATCAGACCCATAGTTTCATGGATATGATGGCTTAGGAAGAAGCTAAGGTAGGTATTAAAGTTTAAAAATGGAGCCTCTTTAAAAAATATATTAATTGGCCAGGCATGGTGGCTCATGCCTGTAATCCCAGCACTTTGGGATGCCGAGGCAGCTGGATCACCTGAGGTCAGGAGTTTGAGCGTGGCCAATGTAGTGAAACCCCATCACTACTAAAAATACAAAAAGCTAGCTGGACATGGTGGTGGGCGCCTGTAATCTCAGCTACTCGGGAGGCTGAGACAGGAGAATCACTTGAACCGGGGAAGTGGAGTTTGCAGTGAGCCGAGGTCGTGCTATTGCACTCCAGCCTGGGCAACAAGAGCGAAATTCCGTCTTAAAAAACATATATAAATATATATATGTGTGTGTGTATATATATGTTTATAAATATATATATTTGTATATAATATATATTTATATAAATATATATACTTGTATATAATATATATATTTGTATACAAATATACATGTTTGTATACAAATATATATGTATATAAATATATATATTTGTATATAAATATGTATATGTATATAAATATATATTTGTATATTATATATATTTGTATATAAATATATATATATTTGTATATAATATATATATTTGTATATAAATTATTAGTAGCAATAATAGTAGTAGTAGTTTCTGGCATGAACAAGCAGCATGCCTAGTAGTTAAAACACAGACCTGCAGCCAGGCTCTGATACAAATACTTGTTCTGCCACTTTCTCACTGTGTGACCCTGTGACCTTTTGTAAGTCACTTAACCTCTCTGTGCCTTGTTCCCTCAAATGTAAGATGGGGATAAAACACTACTTCCCTAGTACAGTGGATGTGAGGATCAAATGCATTAATGCAGGAAAATATTAGGACAGTAGTTAGTGCTCTGTGTTCGCTGCTGTTGCTTTTGCTTTATTTTGTTTTGTTTTTTGAGACAGAGTCTCACCATTCACTCTGTCGCCCAGGCTGGAGTGCAATGGCGCGATCTTGGCTCACTGCAAACTCTGCCTCACGGGTTCAAGGGATTCTCCTGCCTCAGCCTCCTAAGTAGCTGGGATTACAGGCTTGCACCACCACGCCTGGCTGATTTTTGTATTTTTAGTAGAGACAGGGTTTCACCATGTTGGCCAGGCTGCTCTCAAACTCCTGACCTCAAGTGATCTGCCTGCCTTGGCCTCCCAGAGTGGTGGGATTATAGGCATGAGCCACGGCGCCCAGCTGCTATTGTTTTGTATTGCTAATATAAAAGAGGTGATGGGACAATATGGCAAAAGTTGCAAAGGTGGCACGTAAGCGTTCAAAGTACCATGATGTC
Organism: Homo sapiens; assembly: GCF_000001405.40. NCBI lineage: Eukaryota > Metazoa > Chordata > Mammalia > Primates > Hominidae > Homo > Homo sapiens. The sequence goes on along the minus strand of NC_000012.12, from coordinate 113,418,871 downwards.
ATTATATTACAGAATGCTAACAACTACCTGGAAAAGTAAGTATTATAATAAACCCTACATTGTGGAAATAGGGCCAGAGAGGCCAAGTCGCTTTCCCAAGGTCACACAGCAGTAGCAGAGTCAGGGCTCAGACCCAGAGGGACGAGGCTCCAGAGCTCCTGGCTTGGGTGACAAAGAGGATGGGCTGGGGAAGCCACGTGGCTGCATTGGAGAGCAGATGAGGCTGGAGAGGTGGGCCAGGTCACTGACCTGTCCCCACCAGAGCCATGTTCGTCAGCCAGCCCCTGTCCCTGACACCTTGGGCCGCAAAACACCCACCCCGGCCAGTCCCCTGGGTTATTCATTAAGCTTCATTACACCATCCTCACCCCTGGCTGACCTTCCTGTTCCCAGGGCAAGGGAATTGCGTGGAGAAGAGGGACGAAGCCTCTGACGCCTGAGATTAGCCTTTCCTTTCCCAATTTGCAGATTTAACCCTGGACTCTTCGTCATATGCTTCCCAAGGCCGAAGGCTTAGTTCCCCTAAATGGCAAAAGAGCTGAGGCTCAGGCAGCCCCAGCTAGTGAGTAATAACTGTGCCGGAATTCGGGTGCAGGTCTCCCAACACCCAATACAACAGAGCATCTTACCTAAGTTCTCAGACTCATCAACCCTGGCCAAGATGACAAATCACTGGAGCACTGGAGACCAGAGAGGGTCTCACACTGGGAGGTCACATTCCCCCTGGCTGGAGCTGGGGCACACTGTCCTCTGTAAAGGGACATGGCTCTATGTGTCTCGCTGTCCTAACCTCTCCCTACTGCAGCCCCAACACCTAACCGCCCCTTGATTGACCCCTTGTAAGTGTTTACCTTTGAGACCTTTATACAGAGGAACTTTCCCTCTGTCCTCTTGCCCTTGAAAAGGAAAGGAATCAGTGATCAAGGGAGAAGCTGAAGCACAGAAAGGTTAAGTAACTTGCTCCAGCTTGCCCAGCAAATAGGCCATGGGACCAATCTTCCAGGGACCCCACATCCAACCTGGATGCTCTTGTCCCAACAGATAGAAATTCACAGCCACAGCGTCTGAGCTGAAAGAATTCACAGAGGCCGAAACTGCCTTTGCAAAGAATATGACAGTGAGAAGTTCAGCCCGGCGGACTCCAGCCTGCTTCTAGCCTCACTGGCTGCGGACTCCAGCCTGCTTCTAGCCTCACTGGCTGCGGACTCCAGCCTGCTTCTAGCCTCATGGGCTGGCCATCCTCATTCCCAGGTATAGGCCAAGCCAACCATGGGAGGAATTCTTTTTTCTTTGAGACAGGGTCTCACTCTGTCACCCAGGCTGGAGTGCAGTGGCAAGATCACAGCTCACTGCAGCCTCAATCTCCTGGGCTCAAACAATCCTCCCACCTCAGCCTCCAGAGTAGCTGGGACTACAGGTGCGTGCCCACCAATTTCATTTTTATTTTTATTTTTTAGAGACAGAGTCTCCCTATGTTGCCCAGGCTGGTCTCGAACTCCTGGCCTCAAGCAATCCTCCCACCTTGGCCTCCCAAAATGCTGAGATTACAGGTGTGAGCCACCATGCCTGGCCCACCATGAGAATTTAATTTAATTTATAGTTTAACTTTGAAGCAAAGTCAGTCACGGTGGTTCACACCTGTAATCCCAGCACTTTGGGAGGCTGAGGTGGAAGGATCGCTTGGGCCAGGAGTTCAAGACCAGCCTGGGCAACATAGTGAGACCCTGTCTCTACAAAAAATAAAAATTAGCCAGGCATGATGCACACCTGTAGTCCCAACTCTTAAGGAGGCTAAGGTGGGAGGCTCACTTGAGCCCACAAGGTGAAGGCTACAGTGAGCCATGATCATGCCACTGCACTCCAGCCTGGGCAACAGAGTAAGACTCTGTCCCAAAAAAAAAAAAAAGAACAAAAAAAACAAAGCTAACCCCCTCCTTGCTCAGGGACTGAAATCACTTTTGTAAAACTAATAAAAGATCATGAAATTGAGATTATGAAAGGGGCTTGAATTCTGCTACAATCTAAGTGCAATCTCTGTAATCCCTTACTGTTTAACAGTCATGTGAGGGCTGAGAGTGGTGGCTCACGACTATAACTTTAGGACTTTGGGAGGCTGAGGTGGGAGGATTCCTTGAGCCCAGGAGTTCAAAGCCAGCCTGGGCACCATACTGAGACCCCATCTCTACTAACAGAAAAAAACATGAGCTGGGTGTGGTGGCACAGCTGTAGTCCCAGATACTCAGGAGGCTGAGGCAGGAGGATCCCTTGAGCTCAGGAGTTCGAGGCTGTGGTGATCTGTGATCGCACCACTGTACTCTAGCCTGGGCAACAGGGTGAGACTCTGTCTCAAAAAAAAAAAAAAAAAGAGAGAGAGTCATATGACCAGAGGTCACAAGATTTGTGACTTCCCCAATTACTCCTATAGAAACATTGCTATTATAGAACCTTAGATTGGTCTTTTGAGATGTTTTTCAGACTTCTGCATTCTGGTAATTGACTGACCTCCCAGCCCCCCAGACCCAGGACTCATGACTCAACCGGTATCTGATGACAAGTGCCCCACCTGGAGGTGGACTCACCCCATATTCCCCAACCTCAGCACTACTGACATTTGGGGCCAGATCATTCTTTGGTGTGAGCGGCAGTCATGTGCACTGCAGGAGATCACGTTACATCTTCCAGTCCTGTGCATAGCAGCCGCCCTGGCCTCCACCCACCAGATGCTAATAGCACCCTCTATCCCAGGCTTGACACCCCAAAATGTCTCCAGACATTGGCCAATGCCCACACCCGGGTTGCAAAATCGCCCCACTTTGAGAACCACTGTCCTTGAGTAGGGGGTCTGGGGTGGAGCCTTACTTGCACAGGGGCTGGAGAAAGTGGAGGGTGTGCAGAAACACCAGTCCTGCAAAAGGAAGGGCAGAAGGCAAAAAACGTTCCAGGGGCCTTATCAAGCACTGAGTCTTTAGAACATTTGGGGTGCTTTTGCATTTAGAATGATGAATGCGTGAAAACTGGGTAGTAAGAAAGCTGGGCAAGCGGTGGAAACACATACTGGCTTAGAGCAGGTATAAGGGGCTAACAGAAAGATCTCAGAGGGCCCTCCCTCCGGAAGAGAGGGGCCATATGCCCGAATGCACTTTTTTGTGTGTGTTTTTTGTTTTTTTGAGTTGGAGTCTCACTCTGTCACCGAGGCTGGAGTGCAGTGGTGTGACCTTGGCTCACTGCAGCCTCCACCTCCTAGGTTCAAGCAATTCTCCTGCCTCAGCCTTTTGAGTAGCTGGGATTACAGGCATATGGCACCACGCCCAGGTAATTTTTGTATTTTTAGTAGAAAAGAATTTTCATCATGTTGGCCAGGCAGGTCTCAAACTCCTGACCTCAGGTGATCCGCCTGCCTAGGCCTCCCAAAGTGCTGGGATTACAAGCATGAGCCACCACCCGCAGACACTGTATGCACTTTGAGCAAGGTCTCCCAGAGCTCCTCAGTCACGATCATTACAAGAGCCCACTGTCAGAGCTACTGCGATGCTCCCCAGCCCCATGCCTGCACAGCACGGGTGATCATTTAGCATTTTTCCTCTTCTTCTTCTTATGCTTCTCAGATATTTTGTTCATTTCACTTGGTAATGAATTAACCGATGTTTATTGAGCACTTACCTTATGCCAGGCACTGTTCTAGGCACTGGGAATTCAGCAGGAAACAAAACAGGCAAAAACCCTGCCCTCCTGGAGCTCACAGTCTAGTGGGGTGCAGCTGGAGTTGGGGAACAGGCACTAACCAGGGAAATGGCGGGTAAGATAATGGCAAGTGCTACCAAAAAAAAACAAAAACAGGCTGTGTGGTTTTCAATAGAGGGACCAGGGAAGTCCTCTCTGTGAAGGTGACATGTAAGTAAATATTTACAGGAGGTAAGGGGGTGAGACACCCTGATATCTAGGGGAAGACGGAGACAGGCAGGAAAGGTCAGGTGCAAAGGCCCTGAGGCAGGAGGGTGCCCCGAGTGCAGCAGGAACAGCAGAGAGGCCAGTGTGGCTGCAGTAGAATGAATGGAGGGGACAGTCGGCGAGGAAGAGGACAGAAAGAGAATGGAGCCACATCACGCAGAGCCTTGGAGGCTGAAGCACCGTCAGGACTTCAGCTTTTATTCCAAGTAAGACGGGAGCCATGGGAGGCTCTTGAGCAGAGCAGCAATGTGACCTGACTCCAGCAGAATAGGATCCCTCCAGCTGCTGTGTGGGGAATCAGCTGCCAGGGACCCCAGTGCGGAACTCCTGCAAGGGTCCAGGCACAGGACTCAGGGGCTTGAAGCAGGGTGGCGGCAGCAGACCTTGGTGAGAAGTGGTCACATTCTGGGTATTTTGAAGGTAAGGCCACCTGGCCTTCCTGCTGCAGCAGGTGCAGTGCATGTGACAGAGAAAGACACATCAAGACGTTTGGGGCCGGGTGCGGTGGCTCACGCCTGTAATCCCAGCACTTTGGGGGCTGAGGTGGGCGGATCACCTGAGGTCAGGAGTTCGAAATCATCCTGGCCAACATGGTGAAACTTAATCTCTTAATCTCTACTTAAAATACAAAAATTAGCCAGGTATGGTGGTATGCACCTGTAATCCCAGCTACTTGGGAGGCTGAAGCAGGAGAATCGCTTGAACCTGGGAGGCGGAGGCTGCAGTGAGCCAAGATCGCGCCACTGTACTCCAGCCTGGGCAACAGAGTAAGACTCCATCTCAAAAAAATAAATTAATTAAATTAAATTTTAAAATAGCAGCTGCTATTCTTTGAGTCCTTACTCGGTGCCTGGCCCTAGGCTGCCATTATCTATAAGACTCACAATACCTAGTAGCTATCATCGTTCCCATCTCTCCAGGCAGGAAACTGAGGCTAAGGGAACTTAGGTGACCACCACCCCAAGGTCACACAGCAGGGTAGCAGTTTCAGCCTGAGGTCTGAGACCTTAGTTAACCACGAGACTCAGGAGCTGGCTGCACTGGCCAGGGAGGGCAAACAGAGGTGAGAGCTGCCTGTCCTCCCGAGCTGTGAAAACAACCGTCAGAATCCCCACCTCCTGCCACAAAGGACAGGCTGATCTGGCCATCCCCCGGGACACTTCCCTGGAGGGTATGATGTAACTGATCCAGGAAGTGGAGATGACAGAGGCACTTGACAAAGCTCCCTGGCGGGACTCCACCATCCTCCTCCTAGGATTTCAGGCTTGTTTTAGATGGAGCTGGGCCTCAGTTTGTCCATCTGCGAAATGAACAGAAGGTGACTTGCACTTTCCTTCTTGCTTCCCAAGACTTTTTTCTTTCTTCTTTTTTTTTTTTTTTTTCCTTTTTTGAGACGGAGTCTCCGTCTGTCGCCCAGGCTGGAGTGCGGTGGTGCGATCTCGGCTCACAGCAAGCTCCACCTCCCAGGTTCAAGTGATTCTCCTGCCTCAGGCTCCCGAGTAGCTGGGACTACAGGCATGAGCCACCACACCCGGATAATTTTTTGTATTTTTAGTAGAGAAGGGGTTTCACCATGTTGGTCAGGCTCATCTTGAACTCCCAACCTCAGGTGATCTGCCCACCTTGGCCTCCCAAAGTGCTGGGACTACAGGCTCACCCAGTCATCCAAGACCTTTTAAAGGAAAACTAGGTAAGAGAAGAGCACCCTTGTGCTCCAGCACCCGGAGCTACAGACATGAATGCCCTAATGCCCTCTTAAGCACCAGAAAATAAAAATGACCATCTCTATTTTTTTTTTTCTGAGACAAAGCCTCTCACTCTGTTCCCCAGGCTGCAGTGCAGTGGCACAATCTCGGCTCACTGCAGCCTCGACCTCCTGGGCTCAAGCGATCCTCCCACCTCAGCCCCCCAAGTAGCAGGACTACAGGCACTTGCCACCAAGCCTGGCTGATTTTTTTTGTATTTTTTGTAGAGACAGGGTCTTGCCACGTTGCTAAGTCTGGTCTCCAACTCCTGGGCTCAAGTGGTCCACCCGCCTCGGCCTCCCAAAGTGCTGGGATTACAGGCGTGAGTCACAGCGCCTGGTCCAGCCATCACCTCTTGAGTGCTGACTATGTGCTGGGAACTGTCCTTACAGCTTTACATCAATTAAGCTACTTAAGCCTCATAACAAATCTAAGAGGTGGAAACTACTCTTAGTTGAAGAAACCAAAGCACAGAAAGGTTAAGTGACTTGTTCAAGGTCACATAGCAAGTTGATGGCAGAGGTTGGATTTGAACTTGGGCCTGTCCGACTGCACAGCCCATGCTGTCCACCACAAGGTTACACAGCCTCTCAGGGAAGTGATTTGCTTGCTGTCTGGAAATGAACAAGCCTGGGATACTACAATCACAGGTATGAACTAATCCCTCTGAGGTTCGAGCCTTTCCCTGAGACCCCTCCAGCAGCTGATGGACTGGTCAGAATGCCCCTATCACGTGGCCACTCTAACTGGTTCTGCCCCCATTCTCCCCAGAGTGACCTAGGGCAAGCCCCTCGTCCTCTTAGGTTCTCAGTCAGCCCATCCACATGACGGGACAAAGAAACACACATGTACGGCATGTGTAGGGTTTTTTGTTGTTATTGTTGCATATTTAAAAATTAAGAGGTTGCCAGGCTCAGTGGTTCATGCCTGTAATCCCAGCACTTTGAGAGGCCAAGGCAGGTGGATTTGTTGAGCCCAGGAGTTCAAGGCCAGCCTGGGCAACATGGTGAAACCCCGTCTCTACAAAAACATACAAAAATTAACTGGGCGTGGTGGTGCACACCTGTAGTCCCAGCTTCTTGAGAGGCTGAGGCAGGAGGATCACTTGAGCCTGGGAGGCTGAGGCTGTGGTGAGCCATGATTGTGCCACTGTACTCCAGCCTGGGCAATAGAGTGTGATCTTGTCTCAAAAAGAAAAAATGAATATGTACTCAGAAAGCAAATGTCCATGAATTGATGAACAGATAATCAACATGTGGCTTATCCATAGGATGGAATAATATTATTCATGAGAAGGAATGGAGGACTGGTACGTGCTGCGATGTGGATGAATCGTGAAAACGTGCCACCAGTGAAAGCAGCTGGACACAAAAGCCCACACATTGTGTGATTCCATTACACCAAATGACACAAGAACAGGGCAGCTGGGCACGGTGGCTCACGCCTGTAATACCAGCACTTGGGAGGCTGAGGCAAAGGATCACTTGAGGTCAGGAGTTCGAGACCAGCCTGGCCAACATGGTGAAACCCTGTCTCTACTAAAAATACAAAAATTACCTGGGCATGGTGGTGCACACCTGTAATCCCAGCTATTTGGGAGGCTGAGGCAGGAGAATCACTTGAACCTGGGAGGTGGAGGTTGCAGTGGGCCAAGACTGTGCCACTGCACTCCAGCCTGGGTGACAGAGTAAGACTCCATTTCAAAAAAAAAAAAAAACAGGCAGATCCGCAGAGACAGAATACAGACTGGTTGCCAGGGTCCTGGAGTGGGGAGGGAAGGATAGGGAGAGACTTTTTGGGGTGATGAAAATGTTCTGAAATTCATACTCTAAATGGGTGAATTGTATTGCTACATGATTTATATCTCAGTCGAGTTGTTATTTTAAAAAGCATATTCCCAGACGGGATATCAAAGACAGTGATATATATTTTGTCTTTTTCCCCTTTTTTGGTTCTTATATCATCCATTTTCTTAAGTTGATGTTTTTCAGATCACAACACTGATGCATTCTTTTTTTTTTCTTTTAAGACAGAGTCTTGTTACATTGCCCAGATTGATCTTGAACTCCTGAGCTCAAGCGATCCTCCCACCTCAGCCTCCTGAGTAGACAGGTGCACACCACCACACTCAGCTTTGATGCATTTTTTTTTTAATTGAGACAGAGTCTTGCTCTGTCACCCAGGCTGGAGTACAGTGGTGCAATCTTGGCTCACTGCAGCCTCCATTTCCCAGGCTCAAGTGATCCTCCCACTTCAGCCTCCCAAGTAGCTGGGACTATAGGCGCACACCACCACACCCGGCTACTTTTTGTATTTTTTGTAGAGACAGGGTTTCACATGTTGCCTAGGCTGGTCTCGAACTCCTGGGCACAAGTGATCCTCCCACCTTGGCCTCCCACAGTGCTGGGATTATAGGTGTGAGCCACCACGCCCAGCCTGATACATTCTTGGTGAAGCAAATGGAACAACATGCAGAGGTCTAGAGAGTTCGTCATCTTGTCCCTACCAGTTGCAGCTCCAAATCCATCTCCCCCCCCCCATATTCAATCATGACACTGGAGTGTAAATTAATTTGGTGGTGTAAGATAGTGAATTGCTGTCTTCCTTCAGTCTGAACTCCCTGACTTCGTGGGTAACCTCATGTGGAGATATCATCAAAACCCTAAATCTGAGACCTCTGAAGGTTACCAGGCAGGCAAGCTCTCCCACCCCCTTCCTGCTCAACCCTTTCCACTGACCCTGTGTCCTCAAAGGACTCAGGATTCCTGAGCTGACCTTCCTCTACTGCCATTCACTACCTGGTGCTCCCATGGACACTTTTACCCAACCTCTGAGCCTATTCGTCACCTGTACCTTGAGAATCAAAATGCCCATTCCTGTGGTTGTCTGGGGCTTATGAGAGACCCCACCTGGGAAACATAAGGCATGGGATCGGGCACTGGGAGGTGCTCCAGCAATGGGAGCACCAGCTGTATACACTCAGGTGCACACGAGGGAGGCTCTGTCTCCACGTGAACTTCGCCATCCCCGCCTCCCCCTAGGTTTGCCACCCCTCATCCCCAAAACTCACCCATGGATGCTCCACTGGGGAGGGAGCCTGGGAGCGCCATGGAAGGTCAGAGGGGGCCAGGGAGAGGTGACAGCTTGTCCCACAGAGGACGACGGCTGAGCAGGCTGTTTGTACCCTGGTTGCCCTCTGTCTCATCAATATTCTCGTCCTGGCCAGCTTGACAAGAGAGCTTTGTTGAGGGGGCCAGGGAGAGAGCCAGCCAGACAGACCTCTGTGCATGTGTATGGTGTGTGTGTGTGTATGTGTGTGCTGCCCTGTGGACAGACAGATCTCCGCACAGCTGGGAACAAACAAGAGGCTTGGCATGGGGCATGGAGAGTTTTCAGATGCAAGACCTTCCAGTTCTGTGATGATGATGATGATGATGACGATGACGATGGCTGCTAACTTACCAAACACTCAGTCAATTCGAGGCCCCTCTCACACATGCATTGTCAAGTCACCTAAGCCTAGAAGGGAGGTACCATTATCATTCCCATTTCACAGATAAGCAAATCGAGGCTCCAGAAGGCAGAATAGCTTGTCCATTGCCACACAGCTAGGAAACAACAGAGCCAGGATTTGAACCCTGCTCCCCTGGGGTCTTACCCCCCCCCCCCCACCCCTTCATGCCAAAGGTCATAAAAGGATGAGGGGGGAAGGCAATACAGAACTGCTCTGCTTGGCGGTTTTTAGTTTTTTTTTAATTTTAAAAAATTTTGGTGGGTACACAGTAGGTGTATATACTTATGGGGTATATTGATGGGGTAAGAAACTTTTTTTTTTTTTTTGAGACAGAGTCTCACTCTGTCACCCAGGCTGGAGTGAAGTGGTGCAATCTCAGCTCACTGCAACCTCCTCCTCCCGGGTTCAAGCAACTCTCTTGCCTCGGCCTCCCGAGTAGCTGAGATTACAGGTGCCCGTCACCACATCCCACTAATTTTTGTATTTTTAGTAGAGACAGGGTTTCACCATGTTGCCCAGGCTGGTCTCGAACTCCTGACCTCAAGTGATCGGCTTGCCTCAGCCTCTCAAAGTGCTGGGATTACAGGAGTGAGCCACCGCACCCAGCCTGTTTTGGATTGCAGGTTTAGGAGCAGACTGCCTGGGTTCTGAGGCCAGCTCCTCCCTCTTATTGCCTGGGTGATCTTGGGCAAATGACAATCTCATGTGCCTGTTTCCCTTTCTGTAAGATGGAGATAATAACAGTACCCGCGTCCTCTGTGGTTTGGTACTTGCTGAGGGCTCAGTGGCTGTTAGACATTCTAGCTTTATTACTGTTATTGTTTCTTGGGCACCTACTACGTGCCAAGCACATGCTAGCAACTTTAAGTGCATTATCTCACACAATCCTTATTCCATTTTCCTAACGGTCCTTGGAAAATAGATATTGTCCCCATTTGCAAGTGAAGAAACTATAAATCAAGAAGTATCAGGCCGGGCTCAGTGGGTCATGCCTGTAATCCAGCACTTTGGGAGGCCAAGGTGGGCAGATCACTTGAGGTCAGGAGTTCGAGACCAGCCTGGTCAACATGGTGAAACCCCGTCTCCACCAAAAATACAAAAAATTAGCAGGGCATGGTGGTGGGTGCCTGTAATCCCAGCTACTCAGGAGGCTGAGGCAGGAGAATTGCTTGGACCCAGGAGGCAGAGGTTGCAACAACCCAAGATCTCACCACTGCACTCCAGGCTGGGCAACAGGGTGACTCCATCTCAAAAAAAAAAAAAAAAAAGGAAGTATCTGAGGCAGTTCTCAATCGATTTAAAAGTTTATTTTGCCAAGGTTAAGGGCAAGGGCACAACCAGAAGACAGGTCCTTGCCTTTCTCCATAGATGATTTTACGTCTTCAATATTTAAAGGGGAAAAGCAGGCTGGAAGCTGGAAGGAAAAGAAAGAGGGTACGGTCACACTACTGAACCCACATGTTTCAAGAGAAGAGGAGCAGGTAGGGGAATAGTCAGTTATGTGTTTGTCTCATATTTAAGCTTCTACTGTAGCTCTCTGCTTAGGAACGAAAGGAAAGGCCGCTTCTTGCATGACTCAGCTTCCAGCTCAATTTTGGCAGAGTGAATTGGTGTCCCAAGTTTTGTGAATCCTGAGAAAGCATTTGGGCTCACAGTCTCTATTTTTCTGATAAAGTATCTGATTTAAGTACTTTTTTCTTTAAATCATTTCATTAGAGCTCTGTTGTCTATTTTTAGTAGTAACATTAGATACATGTATTAGACACAGACAGAGGTAGATCTTATAAATTCATAAGACTTCCTTTTTTTTCCTCCTATTTAAGACTTTGAATTTCTTTTTCTTTTCTTCTTTGTTTCTTTCTTTTTTTTTTTTTTTTCTGAGACAGGGTCTCACTCTGTTGCCCAGGCAGGAGTGCAGTGGTGTGGGCATGGCTCACTGCAGCCTCAACCACTCAGGCTCAAGTGATCCTCCCACCTCAGCCTTCCAAGTAGCTTGGACTATAGTTGCATGCCACCATACCCAGCTAATTTTTTATTTTTTGTAGAGATGGGGTCTCACTATGTTGCCCAAGCTGGTGTCAAACTCCTGGGCTTAAGCCATCCTCCCACCTAGGCCTCCCAACATGCTGGAATTAGTGCTAGTCACCCTACGCCCAGCCCAACCTCTAATTTCTGGATAACCTGTTTCATTACCCTAGGCAACTGCCAGCTAGATAGCCTTAAATTTACATACTAAATAAACAACTCTTAGATGAAAATCAGATAGCAAAATGTTTATCTCAAAGTAGAGAAAGAGAGAAAAGAGAGTCTGGGTGTGTTAGAGAGATTTAAAATGGATGCCACAGCTGGCATGGTGGCTGACACCTGTAATCCCAACACTTTAGGAGGCTGAGATGGGAGGATGGCTCGACCTCCTCCCATCTCAGGAGTTCAAGACCAGCTTGGGAGGCTGAGGTGGGAGGATTGTTTGAGCCTGGGAAGTCAAGGCTGCAGTGAGCCATGATCGCACCACTGTACTCCAGCCTGAGCAACAGAGTCTCAAAAAAAAAAAAAAAAGCAAATCAAATCAAACATTAAGTTATAGAAATCTATCAAATAAATATATTTTATTTAGATAGGTAGTTTTACATTTAGTTTCTATCTTTTAACTGGAACTCAGAGCTCTGGACAGAGCCCACACTGAATCCCGGGTCTCCAAAGAGAATGATATGGTGGACCTAGGCTGTGTGATGCTTTTACAGTGTACTTTGTTGCAAAGACATTTCTCTAAGGGTCTAAACCATACTCTCTCTTATCTTTAAAAAAAATTTTTTTATATATAACTAGGCCCACACATCCAGACCCTCTCCTGTTTTAAACATTCAAGAGTAGCCCCTGTTGTAATAAAGATTTTAGTCAAAAAAGAAGTCAGGTAACACACAACAAAAGCAAGCAGTTGAAGATCTGAGAGGAACTTATCTGTTTATATTCTTAGGGCTCCATAAGGTTATGGAAAAACAGAGGTTTCTCCCCAAAAAGGAGTCTGGCACTTTCTCTGTTTTCCTTAAGGGAGTCCCAAGCTGTTAGAAATTATTTTAGGTTCCTTGAGCTGTAGAGGGTGGCAAGAGAAAGGAGACAGGCAGAAGTAAATTGGAAAAAACAGAAATCAGTCAACTGAGAAGAAAAAAGAAAACTTTTTCTCAAAAAACAAGATCCTGGCCAAGTGGGGCGGCTCTCACCTGTAATCCCAGCACTGTGGGAGCCTAAGGCCGGTGAATAACTTGAGGCCAGGAGTTCAAGACCCGCCTGGCCAACATGGTGAAATCCTGTCTCTACTAAAAATACAAAAACAATAGCCCAGTGTGGTGGTGTGCGCCTGTAATCCCAGCCACTTGGGAGGCTGAGGCAGGAGAACCACTTGAACCCAGGGAGTGGAGGTTGCAGTGAGCTGAGATCATGCCACTGCACTCTAGCCTGGACGACAGAGTAAGACTCCATCTCAAAAAAAAAACAGATCCTAAGAGAGAAAAAAATGCATTAAGGCCCTATGAATAAATAAATAAATAAATACACACACACACACACACACACACACATCTTAGATATTCGCCTTTAATTAAGCTTTTAACCATTGAGCTCTTTAAAAAATCCTTTTAAATCTCATCACCATATTTTAGCTGGGACAAACTGCTAATATTTCAAAAGTAACACAAACATCAAACCAGAAAGGACTTGATTTAGGAACCAAGCCCAGGCCACGGTGGTGAAAAAGGAACAGAATCTTAGCTACTGAACTAGCGTGAGGTGACAGCCATGTAGCCTCTTTCAGTTTGGCTTGGCTAGCAAAAGATGGCCTTGTTATGTAAATAATGCCCCTCAGGTAATCAAAATCCTTGTCTCTCTCTCTCTTTTTTCTTTTGCTGGCTGTTTTTTCTTTTTCCTTTTTTTTTTTTTCCAGCTGTGGGTATTTAGCCAATTCATGAGACCTTGTTCGCCATAATATGAAACTTTCCTTCAGATTTGACCAAGTCAAATGGAGTTGGTCCAGTCCAATGGGGAAAAGACAGAAGCAACAAAACAACAACAGAAACAAAAACAGTTAAGCAAGGGAAACAAACAATCAAGCAATTTATACGATTACTGCACGCTCTAAAAGTAGGGAGAAATTAAGACCAGCTGGTTGTTAACCCTAACTTCTAGTCATGGGGCCCAGGCTGAAGACCGCTCTCTACCATCCTAGAAGCGGGGAAATCTCAAACTTGCCTTCCCTGCCGGACACAAGCGAAACTCCAGAAAGGAGCTGCCTGCTTGCCATCATCATGGAAGCCAGAAAACTCACCTTCCTTGTTGGAAGTGAGTAAAACGCAGAAAAGGAGCTGTTCAGGGAAATCAAGCTTAGATATCAACCAATTGTGGGAGATCAGGAGTTCTCTGGAGGTGGGGAGCTCCCAGGCCTCAGCAAACTGTCCTATTTTGGAGGGCAATCAAGATCGCTCAAGGCCGGCATGGTGGCTCACGCCTGTAATCCCAGCACTCTAGGAGACTGAGGCGGGTGGATCACTTGAGGTCAGGACTTCAAGACCAGCCTGGCTAACATGGTGAAACCCCATCTCTACTAAAAATACAAAAAATTAGCTGAGTGTGGTGGCACATGCCTATACTCCCAGTTATTTGGGGGGTTGAAACAGGAGCATCGCTTGAACCCAGGAGATGGAGGTTGCAGTGAGCCAAGATCATGCCATTGCACTCCAGCCAGGGTGACAGAGCAAGACCCACCAAGCACCAGTAGGAGACTTGTCAAAGGTCAGGGCCACCTCCACCCAGGGTCCCTTTCATGAGTCTCCAATCTGTAAATCAAAAAGAATCAAAAAGATTGAGACAGGACTCAATCCATTTAGAAATTTATTTCGCCAGGGTTAAGAATGCACCTGGGAGACAGGTCTGTGCTTTTCTCCAGAGATGACTTTAGGTGTCAGTATTTAAAGGAGAAAAGCAAGCTGGAGGGGAAAGAAGGAGGCTATGGCCACATTACCAAATCCACAGTTTGTAAGAGAAGAGGGGCAGATAGGGAAGTAGCCAATTATGTATTTGTCTTGATCTCAATAAATCGGCACTTTACATAAGATAAGGTGAACATAGAGTAGCGACCTGTGGAGATATTTAACTTTTTTTTTTCTTTCTGTTGTGAAGGCTGGAGTGCAGTGGCGAGATCTAGTCTCACTGTAACCTCTGCCTCCCAGGTTCAAGCAATTCTTGTGCCTCAGCCTCCTGAGTAGCTAGGATTACAGGCACGTGCCACCACACCCGGCTGATTTTTGTATTTTTAGTAGAGACGGGATTTCACCATGTTGGCCAGGCTGGTTTCGAATTCCTGACCTCAGGTGATCCACCCGCCTCGGCCTCCCAAAATGCGGAGCCAATATTTAACCTTTCATCTGAAGCTATCTGCTTAGGAACTAAAGGAAAGGCAGTTTCTTACATGACTCAGCTTTTAGCTTAATTCTTTTTCTTTTGGCATAGTGAGTTGGGGGTCCCAATTTTTTATTTTCCTTTCACGAAACTGAGGACAGAAAGGGGAAGTGGAAAGAGGGAGGAGGAGTGGGTTGTGGGAAAGGCAGGAGGAAGCTGCCAAAGAAGAAAGCTTGGCCAGATTCCACCTCCCTTCTGACAGCCTCAGTGGCCTCAAGCCAGGGGGGTGGGTCCTGGCAGGAGGGAGGGGGGGGTGTAGCCAGCCCCAGGGCCCCATTGGCTGCCCAGAGGTGCCAGAGGAATAAAGCCCAGGACCAAGTAGCCCCTGGGACCATTCAGAAGACTGTCCACCCGTCCTCAGCCCCCTCTCTTCGTGGGCTATCTACTCAGTTGATCCCTCCCTCGCTGGCTTGGCTCTGACTCCTGCTCAGACCCATCACCTTTGCCGGGTAAGTGGCCCCATCCTCAGTCCCACCTCAGGACTGGAGTGTCCCGGGCTAGCCTGTGGTTTCCCAGGGGAAGAGGGAGACATAGAAAGAGTCTGTCAAGGCTGGGCATGGTGGCTGATGCCTGTAATCCCAACACTTTGGAAGGCTGAGGTGGGAGGGTTGCTTGAGGCCACAAGTTCAAGACTGAGCTGGGCAACAGAGTGAGACCCCCCCCAATCTCTACAAAAAAAATTTTTTTTTTTTAAGACAGAGGTCTCACTCTGTCACCCAGGCTGAAGTGCAATGGCACAATCTGGGCTCACTGCAACCTCCACCTCCTGGGTTCAAGCGATTCTCCTGCCTCAGCCTCCCGAGTAGCTTGGACTACAGGCGTGTGCCACCACGCCCGGCTAATTTTTGTATTTTTAGTAGAGATGGGGTTTCACCATGTTGGCCAGGCTGGTCTCGAACTCCTGACCTAAAAAAAGAATTTAATTAGTATAGTGTGGTGGTGCACACCTGTAGTCCCAGCTACTGGGAAGGCTGAGTTGGGAGGATCGCTGGAGCCCAAGAGGTCGAGTCTGCAGTGAGCAATTATTGCGCCCCTGCACTCCAGCCTGGGTGACACAGCAAGACCTTGTCTCAAATTTTTAAAAAACAGCCATTTGGGCCTAAACACTGAGTTTGTGTCCAGTTCTGTGCCTCAGCTTCCACATCTGTAGAATGGGGATGAGCATAGCGCCTTCCTCCTCAGGTGGTTGTGACGGTGAAAGGATGACCTGCACTTAAGGTGTCCAGCCCAGATTTCATAATAGTTCATATCGACTGAGCACTTACTGTGAACCAAGTGAAAGGGAAGGTGGCTTCCGACTGCCGGAGTGGGCAGACAGCGGCTTCAGGGCTCCCTCCCTCCTCCTCCCCGGGCACAACCTCTTCTGAAGTCTTGCGATCCTTGGGGCAGGGATCCTTGGGGCAGGCTGGATGCAGTTAATGGATGCTCACTTCACGGAAAGCCGCGGCAGAGGGAGCCCTGTCCTTTTACCTGAAGGCATCCCATGGCACCGCCTGGGACAAACGGCGAGAGAGGCGCCCCAAACCCACCTGAAAAGGGTCTTCGTGGCCGGCTCCTCTGACTCCCACCCCGATTGTCCCTGAGGCCAGGCCTTGGTGACCTACACCGGCCTTTAATGTCAAGTCAGTCGGTGTGGTGGCTCACGCCTGTAATCCCAGCACTTTGGGAGGCCAAGGCAGGCAGATGACTTGAGGTCAGGAGTTCGAGACCAGCCTGCCCAATATGGTGAAACCTTGTCTCCACTAAAAATGCAAAAATTATTCGGGCGTGGTGGTGCACGTCTGTGATCCCAGCTACTTGGGAGGCTGAGGCAGGAAAATCGCTTGAACCCAGAAGGCGGAGGTTGCAGTGAGCCGAGATCATGCCGCTGCACTCCAGCCTGGGTGACAGAGGGAGGTTCTCTAAAAATAACTAAATAAAAACCGGGATCCCATTGTTTGGGGATTAACCTCCAGGAGCTGAAAGTTCATGCCGATTTGGGGATGTCCTGTTTTGAAGTTTGCCCCAGTCTCTGATTTTTATTCGAGAGATCCAGCGGAGAGAGGGTGTCTGTTCAAGTTCCCCTCCCAGGCCCCGAATGTCAGTTAATTCAGATAGACAAGGGGTGACCTATTTAGGGGATGCTAAGTCTGGCGGGGCAGTTGGAATCCCCACCCCTCATTCTCCCTCTGACCAAGGGATGTCTGGCTCATTCTGGGAGCGGGGGATGGATGTCCAAGCTAGGAGTGCCCAGGACAGGGGGCTGGACAAGGTGGCATTGGAGATGGGTCTCTGGCTAGCCACCCTTGCCTGGCCTTCTGGGATGGTGGAGGGAGGGGGAACCAGAGAGCCCCTTGGCCATCGTCAGCTGATCTCTTCTGGCCCGGCCCAAGTTGAGGAGAATCAAATCCTCCCTGAGACTCTCAGCAGAAGGCAGGGGAGATGGGAAGGCTGGGTGGGTGGACGTGGCTGTGGCTAGACCCCGGGCCACCCCAGCTGCTTCATCCCCCAGAGCCCATCCAGAAGCAGGAGCCTGAGCCACACCCATGGGTCGCAGAGAGAGCCTGAGCCCTGGAGCCAGCTGCCCGAGTTCAAATCCTGCCTCCCTGCCTCACTCACAGCGTGACTTTGGGCAAATTATGTTAATATTCCCCTTCCTGTTGCTGTGTACCAAACTACCCCAAAATGTGACTTAAAACAACAGCAAGCCAGGTGCTGTGGCTCATGCCTGTAATCCCAGCAGTTTGGGAGGCTGAGGTGGGCAGAACGCTTGAGGCCAGGAGTTGGAGACCAGCCTGGCCAACATAGCAAAACCCCATCTCTACTGGAATGAATGAATGAATGAATGAATGAATGAATGAATAAAATTTAAAAGCTGTGATTAGTCACTGCTATAATAATTATGACAAAATTAATAATTATGAAAGAGCTTTTCCTAACTGAATATTGGGCTTCCCAAAAGTTAGGTTATTTTGTTTTTTTTTAAATAAATATTTATTGAACATCTACTATGAGTCAGGCATTTTGCTGGGTCCTGGGATCGTCCATTTAAGCCAAGATACTTGGAACTGCATGTCAGAAGAGCCAGCTGCCAGGTTGTTTTTGTTTGTTTGTTTGTTTGTTTGAGACAGAGTCTCGATCTGTAGACGAGGCTGGAGTGCAGTGGCGCGATCTCGGCTCACTACAAGCTCCGCCTCCCGGGTTCACGCCATTCTCCTGCCTCAGCCTCCCAAGTAGCTTGTATTTTTAGTAGAGACGGGGTTTCACCATGTTAGCCAGGATGGTCTCGATCTCCTGACCTCGTGATCCGCCCGCTTCGGCCTCCCAAAGTGCTGGGATTACAGGTGTGAGTCACCGCGCCCAGCCCAGGTTTTTTTTAAATGTATGCATTTAAGTAAGTAATAGAGGCACATGGTAAAACATCAAACTGTGCAAAAGGTGGGTGCTATGATCCCGAGGGCCAGCTCTCCTCAGAGGCCCCACCCTGGCCAGCCTGTCATGCATGTTTCCTGAAATGCTCTGTGCACATGGAAACATGTGGAACAAAACAAAAAAAAATTCAAATAAAAAAATTAAAAAAATATATAAAAGAAACATGTGGACTATATGTGTGTGTGGATGGATTGTGCGTGTGTGTGGATGGATTGTGTGTGGGAGTGGATCGTGTGTGTGTGGATGGAGTATGTGTGTGTGGATGGATTATCTGTGTGTGTGGGTGTCCCTGAATTTTTCACATAGATAGATAGACTATTCTTTTTTTTTTTTGAGACACAGTCTCACTCTGTTGCCCAGGCTGGAGTGCAGTGGCTCGATCTTGGCCCATTACAACCTCCACCTCCTCGGTTCAAGTGATGCTCCTCCCTCAGCCTCCTGAGTAGCTGAGATTACAGGTGCCTGCCACCATGCCTGGCTAATTCTCTTTCTTCTTCTTTTTTTTTTTTTTCTCAAGACAGAGTCTTGCTCTGTCACCCAGGCAGGAGTGCAATGGCGCGATCTCGCTCACTGCAACCTCCGCCTCCTGGGTTCAAGTGATTCTCCTGCCTCAGCCTCCTAAGTAGCTGGGGTTACAGGCGTGCGCCACCATGCCCAGCTAATTTTTTGTATTTTTAGTAGAGACGGGGTTTCACCATGTTGGCCAGGCTGGTCTCGAACTTCTGACCTTGTGATCCACCAGCCTTGGCCTCCCAAAGTGCTGGTATTACATGCATAAGCCACTGTGCCCGGCCTCACCTCATGCATTTTGAAAGCTCCAAGGTTTGAGTGTTCTCTCTTCAGCCTCCCAGCAAATGTGTGAGAGGTCAGGAGTGGAGGGTGATCCCTGATAGAGCTGAGGCCAAGGCGTGATTACCTGTCTGATGTCACATGGTGAGTAGGTGGCCCACTTGCGATTAGAGCCCAGGTCTCCAGGATGCTCTCTCGTCTGAGGCCTTGCTTGGCTTGCTGGGAAGCGAAGGAAGGGATCACTCTGGCAGTGCTGGCACCGGGGCTAGCTCTCCTAACCCTCTGGGTTTCCTTCCTTTCTCCCAGGAATGATGTCTGGAGAACCCCTGCACGTGAAGACCCCCATCCGTGACAGCATGGCCCTGTCCAAAATGGCCGGCACCAGCGTCTACCTCAAGATGGACAGTGCCCAGCCCTCCGGCTCCTTCAAGATCCGGGGCATTGGGCACTTCTGCAAGAGGGTACGGGACCGGGTCAGCATTATCTGGGCAGGGGTGGCAGGTCCTCCTTCCTCAACAGGGCAGGGCCAGTGCTGTGTGAAATTAAAGGCGTTGTAGGATAAGCCTACTGACTCCCCGCAAGGACTGAGCGTCCACCATTAGGGCTTCCTCTGTTTGAGGGGTGCCCTTCCAGGAGGGTTCCTTGGGACTGATCCCAGAGCCATCAGTCGCCTATTTTCCTCCACCCTTTCCTGAGCCAGTCTCTTTGGAGATGGGAGGTGCAGTCTCAGACAAGGGTAGAACAAATTCTGAGTGAAGGAAACGTCCGTGTCCACTGGAATCCTGGCAGGTATTCCAGGTGGGGAGGAAGAGCACAGGCAATGACTGGGAGGTGGGCCTGAGTGCCTCTCCTGTTGTCTCCACAGTGGGCCAAGCAAGGCTGTGCACATTTTGTCTGCTCCTCGGGTAAGTGATCTGCTTCCCCATCCTGTCCTCTGCTGTGTGTCCTGGGATCAGACACTCTGCTTCTCTGAGCCCTGGTTTCCCCAGCAATGTGCCACTGAAAACAATGGCAGCAGCCACCAATTTGGAATTCCAGGGGGAGGCCAGCAGTCGCCCAGGGTGGGGAGGTGAGGGGGGAACTCCAGAGCCCCCAGTAGAGGGTACGCAGTCCTGCCTGGGCTCCCAGATGCTCCCGCACTGACACGCTCTCCACCCCCGACCCTGGCAGCGGGCAACGCAGGCATGGCGGCTGCATATGCGGCCAGGCAACTCGGCGTCCCCGCCACCATCGTGGTGCCCAGCACCACACCTGCTCTCACCATTGAGCGCCTCAAGAATGAAGGTGCCACAGTCAAGGTGGTGGGTGAGGTGAGTGCCGACCCAGGGCAAGGAAGAGAGAGGGCGCCTGGTGGCTGGACAGGGTGCCCCCTGTGCCTCACCCCCTCCTATCTCCCCTGTGGCTTTGCAGTTATTGGATGAAGCCTTCGAGCTGGCCAAGGCCCTAGCGAAGAACAACCCGGGTTGGGTCTACATTCCCCCCTTTGATGACCCCCTCATCTGGTATGTGGAGTTCAAGGTCACTTGGTGGGGGTGGCAGCCACTGCCCTATATCACTGGGCAGGCATTGCTATGATGCACATCATCACGTCCTCATGCACAGCAGCTGCACATGTGTGCGCACACCACCATGTAGAAGCACACTTAGGCGGGGCACAGTGGCTCACGCCTGTAATCCCAGCACTTTGGGAGGCCAAGGTGGGAGGATCACTTGAGGTCAGGTGTTTGAGACCAGTCTGGCCAACATGGGGAAACCCCATCTCTACTAAAAATACAAAAATTACCTGTACTTGGTGACACACGCCTGTAATCCCAGCTCCTAGGGAGACTAAGGCAGGAGAATCGCTTGAACCCAGGAGGTGGAAGTTGCAGTGAGCCATGATCACGCCACTGCACTCCAGCCTGGGCAAGAGAGTGAGACTCCATCTCAAAAAAAAAAACAAAAAAAAAAAAAAAGAAGAAACACACGTTACACCCAGGTGCAGCAGCAAGTGCACACATGTCACCAAATGCCCATTATCCACGGCTGCACATGCAACACACCCAAGGCTGAACATGCAAGCACACAGATGCCCAAGTGTCTGCAGTTGAGTCCTCCTGGAAGCAGACTTGGGGACAAAGGTTTCAGGGAAAGGAGTTTATTTGGGAGGTGATTCAGTGGGGGAGTGGGGAAGTAAGCCAGGGAAGGAAGGGGGCTTTGCTGTTTCTTTTTTCTTTTTCTATCATCCAGTCCAAAATGTCAGGAAGGGGGCTTTCAAAGGCAGGTGGCCGCTGTGGGTGGCTAGAGCTTAATCCCTCGGGGACCCTGGGAGCCAGTGCAGAAGGCGCACAGCAGTTTCCCGCCCCCTGGGAGAAGGAGCAGGGGAGTTTGTACACCGACTCGTAGCCATTGGTTGAGGGCTGCCTTAAGGGGCTGCCATCTCCTGACTCTGTTTGCAGGTAGCTCAGGTGGCCAGAGAAGGTCCTCAGGCAGAGACACAGATGCTGGCAGCTAGAAGCCAAGGTTGGGGGTGGGGAGGGAACTAGCTCCAGGCCCCATCAGCTGGGATAAGGCCGGTGCAAACCTGAGCTGGTGTCTCCAGGAAGCCTAGCCCTGACCTGCCACCCCCTCTCCCCACCCTCCAGGGAAGGCCACGCTTCCATCGTGAAAGAGCTGAAGGAGACACTGTGGGAAAAGCCGGGGGCCATCGCGCTGTCAGTGGGCGGCGGGGGCCTGCTGTGTGGAGTGGTCCAGGGGCTGCAGGAGGTGGGCTGGGGGGACGTGCCTGTCATCGCCATGGAGACTTTTGGTGCCCACAGCTTCCACGCTGCCACCACCGCAGGCAAACTTGTCTCCCTGCCCAAGATCACCAGGTGAGCAGCTGGGGTGCCTCCCTCGGGTGTCCAGCAAGCACTGGGGAGTCCCCCTTAGGGCTGGCTTTGAGATAGATCCTGATGTCAGCCTGTTTCACAGATGAGACAATGGAGGCTTTGATCGCTTGCCCAGGGCCACGTCCAGTGAGTGGTACAGCTTGGACTCAAACCCAAGTCTGTGTGACTCCAACATGTCACACTTCCTCACGTGAAAAGCCTCATATGAGGCTGGGCACAGTGACTTGTGCCTGTAATCCCAGCACTTTGGGTGGCTGAGGCAGGAAGATCACTTGAGGCCAGGAGTTCAAGACCAGCCTGAGCAACATAGAGAGATTCCCACCTCTAAAAAAAGTTTTTTGTTTTTTTTTTAAATTAACTGGGCGTGGTAGCACACACGCATAGTCCCAGGCTAAGGTGGGAAGGATTGCTTAAGCCCAGGAGACTGAGGCTGTAGTGAGCCATGATCATGCCAGTGCACTCCAGCCTGGGTGACAGAGCAAGACCCTGTCTAGAAACAAAGAAAAAGGAAGGAAGGGAGAGAGGGAGGGAGGGAGGAAGGGAGGGAAGGAAGGAAGGAAGGAAGGAAGGAAGGAAGGAAGGAAGGAAGGAAGGAAGGAAGGGAGAGAGGGAGGGAGGGAGGGAAAGAAGGAAGGAAGGAGAAAGGAAGAGGAAAGAAAGAGAGAGAAAGAAAGAAAAAAGGAGAAAGAGAAAGAGAGAAAGAAAAAGAAAGAGAAAGAAAGAGAGAAAGAAAGAAAAAAGAGAAAGAAAGGAAGAAAGAAAGAAAAAGAGAGAAAGAGAAAGAAAGGAAAGGAAAGGAAAGGAAAAAGGGAGGGAGGGAGGAAGGAAGGAAGGAAGGAAGGTCTCATAGGAATCATTTACTGAGTCCTCTGTGGCAAGGTTTTACATACCTCATTACTTTGCCAACCATTTACTGAGCCCCTATTGTGTGTAAGACACTGGCTGATCTGGGGAGAGAGTGGTGCATAAACACAAGTCTTGCTCCTAAGGAGTTCATATCCAAGCCCCAAACCTTTGATAGTTTGTTTGTTTTTGTCTTTGTTTTTTGAGACAGAGTTTCGCTCTTGTTGCCCAAGCTGGAGTGCAATGGTACAATCTCAGCTCACCGCAACCTCTGCCTCCCAAGTTCAAGCGATTCTCCTGCCTCAGCCTCAGGAGTAGGCGTCTGCCCCAACACTTGGCTAATTTTGTATTTTTAGTAGAAATGGGGTTTTACCGTGTTAGCCAGGCTAGTCTCGAACTCCTCACCTCAGGTGATCTGCCCACCTCAGCCTCCCAAAGTGCTGGGATTACAGGCGTGAGCCACCGCACCCGGCTGGTAGATAGTATTTAATTAGGATTAGGTTTTGACCCCATTACACAGAAGGCCCAAATAACAGTGACTTAAATGAGATTGAACTTTACCATGAAAAGTCAGGGCGCCAGGTCCCTTGAGTTTGTTTCCCCATTATCCTTAGCATGTAGTGTTTCAGTCCAAAATGGTTGCCTGAGTGCCAGCTATCACACCCACATTCCATTTGGCAGGGATGGGGAAGCAAGGGCAGAAGGCTATGCTCCAACCTTCAAAGACAGACACAACACTTCCACTTACCTTTCGTTGGCCTGAACTTAGTCACATGGCCACATCCAGCTGCAAGGGAGGCTGGGAAATGTCTTTACACCAGGTGCCCATAAGTGCAGCTAGAAAAGACACCGGGGCAGACAATAGTCTCCCCTACAGATAGGGAAGACTGAGCCCAGCCAGGTAAGAACTTCTTCCAGATTCCTGAGCCTGGCATCTGGAGCTGCTGTGTCCCACACTGTAGGGACTGAAGACGTCATGGCTGAGCGCCTACTGTAAACCACGTGCTGCTGAGGGCTGAGGTGGCTCAGGCCCTCAAGATGCTCCTGGGGAAGGGAGAGGGGGCAGCTGAGCTGGGAATAGAGCTAGTGGTCACCCCAGGAAGCTGGGGACAGCGTCAACACATTGGTTACCAGTGCAGGTCTTGAAGTTATACAGATCCTGCTTGCAGCCCCAGCTCCAGCACTCCCTAGGTGTGTGACCTTGGGCAAGTGACTGTACACTCTCTGCCTCAGTTTCCCCTTTCCAAAATCAAACCAATTAACAACAGCAGAATTCTTGTGTGAATTCAATAATGCTTGTGAAGTGCTTGGCACCTAACACTTTCTCAAGAAGTACTCAGGGCGCTTGTTACTAGCAGGGAGGACTATTTGAGAATTCCACATAGGGCCGTGGGACTCAGTACTCTCCCAGGAGGACTCCTTGGAGGAGGTGGCCTTAATCCTGAGCCTTGAAGGACACAGCAGGATGTGGGCAGGCAGAGTGGTGCTAAGCTTCATGAGGGTTAACCAGGTAGCGGTTGTAACCCGGAGCAAAAGCAGGGAGTCCTAGCAGGGAACAACAAGGGTCCTCTTAGGCATTTGCTCCTGACTTAGTGTTGATCAGAATATGACGCTGTGCCGAGGCAGGAGGATCACTTGAGCCCAGGAGTTCAAGACCAGCCTGGGGTCGGGCATGGTGGCTCATGCCTGTAATCCCAGCACTTTGGAAGGCCGAGGGGGGTGGATCACCTAAGGTCAGGAATTCGAGGCCAGCCTGGTCAACATAGTGAAACCCCATCTCTACTAAAAATACAAAAATTAGCCGGGTGTGGTGGTGGGCACCTGTAGTCCCAGCTACTCGGTAGGCTGAGGCTGGAGAATTGCTTGAACCCGGGAGGCAGAGATTGCAGTGAGCTGAGATCGCACCACTGCACTCCAGCCTGGGCAACAGAGCAAGACTCCGTCTAAAAAAAAAAAAAAACAAAAAAACAACAAAAAAACAAACAAAACAAAAACCCGCCTGGGCAACATAGTGACACTCAGTCTCAAAAAAATTAAAAAAATGATACTAAAGAATATACTATATGATGTCAATTCAAACACTCTGCACCTTATTAGAAGACCCCACTTGGTTTGGGGATCCCTGAGGCTTTTCAGGGTTTTACAGCTGCAGAGGTGATACCTGTCCCCCTGCCCCCAGATGCATTGCCTTCTCTGTCTCACATCCATCTCCTTCTCTCCCTCCCTGCCCCCATCTCTCTCCTGTTTCCCCCACTCCCATCCTCTTCTGGGTTCCCACTTCTCTCAGTGTTGCCAAGGCCCTGGGCGTGAAGACTGTGGGGGCTCAGGCCCTGAAGCTGTTTCAGGAACACCCCATTTTCTCTGAAGTTATCTCGGACCAGGAGGCTGTGGCCGCCATTGAGAAGTTCGTGGGTATGTGCCAGGTCCTCCCATGACCTGACCTGCTGACTCAGGCGCTAAGTGGCTGTCCACTTGGTATGCCACTGGGGATCCCACTCACCCCAAGTTTCCTTCACAGTTCTGTCTTCCACCTCTGCCTAGAATTTTCCATTAATAGAAGATAATACAATGCCGTGTAGAAATAGAAAAGCAAAAGCCACACATAATGGAAAAGTAAATAGAAAAGTAAGCCTGATAACCATAGCAGCAGAAAACAATAAGTGAATATTTAAAATGTTGCTTCTGAGTTTCCTGGCAGCCAGGGTAAAAAAAGGAAAACATGGGGCTCAGAGTTTGATTCATTCAGAGGTGAGTCTGTAACTAGGCTGGACTCTTTCTGGGTTCCGTCTAGGGCAGGGATGGCAAAAAAGAGAGAAAAAAATAGTACCATTTATGCTTCTGTACCTGCTGCACACTTGGCTAATCAACCATGGAACTCTTGCTCAGATGATGCCTCAGAATCCTTCTCAACACAGTGCTCACGCAACCACACTCATTCTATCAGTGTTAGCACTCATGATGAAACCCAGGCCCTGGCTCAGGCTTGGAAGGGCCAATTCAGGCCGATGACGGGACGTTTGGTTCAGGACCTGCGGCTGCAGCCAGGGCTGAGAGCTGATTGGCTCAGTATTCCCAGGTCCTGCCAATGGCCTGTCAGCTCCTGTGCACCCTGGGAAACTCAGGCCACGCCCCTGTCACGCCCCTTCTCTGGCAGATGATGAGAAGATCCTGGTGGAGCCCGCCTGCGGGGCAGCCCTGGCCGCTGTCTATAGCCACGTGATCCAGAAGCTCCAACTGGAGGGGAATCTCCGAACCCCGCTGCCATCCCTCGTGGTCATCGTCTGCGGGGGCAGCAACATCAGCCTGGCCCAGCTGCGGGCGCTCAAGGAACAGCTGGGCATGACAAATAGGTTGCCCAAGTGAGGACGGACCCCTTACCGATCTGTGCTCTCCTAGCCCAAGAGACCCCTGGAGGGGCTGGAGTTTTATCCAGCGCCTCGTCGTATGTTTGGCTGAGCACCTGTGGCCTGGGTGCAGGTTAACTTCTTGTTATCAGGAGCCCACTATGCAGAGGCCAAAGGTCGGCAGCCAGCGAGGCTATGAATTGGACCTTTTTGGTATCTGTGTGACTGCTCTGTGCCCATCCTTAGCCAACTTGCTGGCGTGACAAGTGCCCACAAGTAACACACCAGGTACCCAGAGCAGGGTGGACAGGAGAGACCTGAATCACAGCAGTGAGGAATTCCTCAAAGCTGTGACCTCGCCCCTGAACTTGTTCCCAGTGAAGGTCAACAGGGCCACCAACCAGGGTTGAGGAACCATCTCAGCCATCCTCCCAGGAAGCCCACCCCTGACCCTTACTAATTTTTCTAATGTGCAAACTTTTTCATTGAAAAATAAAATATATTTATGAAACAAAGATCCTGTGCATTTTCCCATCATCAGCTGTCTCCTTTCCTGCTTTCCTTCCACCCCAAGTCTGCTCTCAGCCCCAGCTCTCAACTGGGGCCCCAGAGTGAGGCCAGGAGCCTGACTCCAGCTAGTCTTGCATGCCAGGACAGGGGCATCCCTGTACCACAGGAAGCAGGTGGCTAAACAAGAGGGACTTGGGGTGGGACAAAGGCTGCCTCCGCTGAAGGCAGAAGCAGCTGGGGAGGCCAACTTCATTCTGATATGAAGTCCTTCCTACTAAGTCAGAATTATTTCATCACAGACCCAATGGAAGCAAAGAAGTGAGGCCCCCTCCCCTGGGCGTGTGTGAGCTGACACTGGACACCCATCTCTGGGAGAGGGAAAGGGTGGGTGGACTTGAAGTCAATGTCATGCAAACCCTCCTCAAACATGGAGCCCTCTCTTCCAACAAAAGCATATGCTGAAGCCCGTATCATAGATCAAAGAGGAATTACTGGGGCTGGCTCCAGAGCATGGAGGGAACCCCACCCTCAGGGTACTTTCTGGATGACCCCAAGTTCAAACTGAAGTTTAAGAGTCACTCAGGGCTGGGCGCAGTGGCTCACGCCTGTGGGAGGATCGCTTGAGCCCAGGAGTTCAAGACCAGGCTGGTTGGCACAGTGAGACTCTGTCTCTACAAAAAGGAAAAATAACTTGAACCCAGGAGGCAGAGGTTGCAGTGAGCCGGGATTGTGCCATTACACTCCAGTCTGGCGACAGAGTGAGACTCCGTCTCAAAAAATAAATAAATAAATAAAAAGGAAAATAAGATAAAACCACAAGTCAATTCCCAACCCCAGACCCCAACCTTGCTTTATTTTCTCCACGGGTTTACCAGCACTGACACACTGCATATTTCATTTATTTTGTTTACTATCTAGTCAATGTAAACTTCACAAGAGCAGGAATGCTTCTGTCCCTTTTGTTATAAAGTATCCCCGGGACCTCATAACAGTGCCTGGCATGTACTAGGGGTTCAATAAGTGTTTGCTAATAAAGAGATGCTGAGTGCATGAGGCCCCAAGTGGGCTGCATCACATCCCCCAGGGAAACGCTGCTCACACCATTACCCCATTTCACAGATGAGGTAATCGAGGCTCAGAGAGGAGTCCATAGCTAGCTAATAAGAGGTGGAGACAGAATTGAAACCCAGGTCTCTGACTCCAGGGCTGTGTGCTTTCCTCTCTCCAAGCACACAGCACTGGGAGAGTCTTGTCTCCAAGGCAGGCTGCATGAGATCAGACAGGGAGAGAGCCTTTTTTTTTGTATCTGTCTGTATACCACAATATGGCTTAGGAAGGTCTTGGTGGTTAACAAGGCTCCCAAATAGGACCCAGAACACAGGTGCTCAATAAACATCTGGATGGATAGATGGATGGATGGATATGAATGAATGGATGGCTGATGGATAGAAAATAGATAAATATGGATGCATGGGTGGATATTAATGAATCTGCACAGACCCGTGTGTGGATGGATGGGTGATAAATGAATAGGTAGGTGGATGGACGGGTGGGTGGGTGGATGGATGAATGGATGGATGAGTGGGTGGATGGATGGGTAGATGGGTGATAAATGGATAGGTGGACGGATGAGTGAATGGGTAGATGGGTAGATGGATGGAAATGAACAGATGGAAATGGTTGGATGGGTGGATAAATGGTTGGAAGGATGGATGGATGGGTGAGTGGGTAGATGGATGATAAATGGATAGGTAGGTGGATGGATGAGTGAATTAGTAGATGGGTAAATGGGTGGAAAATGAACAGATGGAAATAGTTGGATGGGTGGATAAATGGTTGGAAGGTTGGATGGATGGGTGAGTGGGTAGATGGATGATAAATGGATAGGAAGGTGGATGGATGAGTGAATGGGTGGATGGGTAGATGGATGGAAAAACAGATGGAAATGTTTGGATGGGTGGATAAATGGTTGGAAGGATGGATGGATGGATGGGTAAATGGGTGATAAATGGATAGGTAGGTGGATGGAGGAGTGAATGGGTGGACGGGTAGATGGATGGAAAATGAACAGATGAAAATGGTTGGATTGATGGTTGGATGGGTGATTGGATGGATGGATGGGTGGATGGGTGACAAATAGGTAGGTGGATGGGTGGATAGGTGAGTGGGTAGATGATTGGGTGGGTGGATGGATGGATGCGTTGGCAGATGGGTGGATGGATGAATGGATAGGTAGTTGGATGGGTGGGTGGATGAATGGGTGGGTAGATAAATGGGTGGGTGGATGGGTGATAGATAGATAAGAACTTCGTAAGCCATGCTGTGGTATACAGACCAATACAAAAAAGGATCCCTCCCTGTCTGATCTCATAGGTGGATGGATGAGTCAATGGCTGGATGAGTAAATGGGTGGGTGGGTAAGTGGATGGAAAATGGACAAATGAGGCCAGGTGCGGGGGCTCACATCTGTAATCCAAGCACTTTGGGAGGCCAAGACGGGCGGATCACTTGAGGCCAGGAGTTCGAGACCAGCCTGGCCAACATGGTGAAACCCTGTCTCTACTAAAAATACAAAATTAGCCAGGCATGGTGGCTCATGCCTGTAACCCCAGCTACTTGGGAAGCTAAGGCAGGAGAATCGCTTGAACCCAGGAAGCAGAGGTTGCAGTGAGCAGAGATTATGCCATTGCACTCCAGCCTGGGCAATAGAGTGAAACTCCCACTCAGAAAAAACAAAAACAAAAAAAAAAGAAGAAGAAAGAAAATGGACAGATGGAGATGGCTGAATGGTTGGATGGGTGGTTGGATGGGTGAGTGGATGGATGATAAATGGATAGGTAGATGGATGGATGGATGATGGAAGACGGATGGGTGGGTGGAAGGCTGTGCAGATGGATGATGGGTGAGTATGTTGGCAGATGAATGAATGGACAGAAGGACAGACAGAGGGCTGCACAGGAGGCTGCATGGGGGATGGCGCAGAACCCAAACCTGAGAGGAGAAAAAGCGCTGACCCCACCTTCCCTGCCACCCCAAGAAGCACAGCATGGGGCCACAGCCGCTCTTGTTTAATGGTGGCACAGCCTGCGGTCTGGTTCCTCCATCAGGGCGCTGTGGGTATGGCCCTGAGGTGAGGGGCAGGCCTGGGGTGGGGTGGGGTGGGGCCTGAGGCAGAAGCATGGGGGCTGACCCTCTGCCTGACATGGAGAGAGGACATTCAGAACCCTCCAGCCACAGATGGCCAGAAACTTTGGTTTGTGTTTGTTTTCAAGTTTCTGTCCTCAAGGAAGCTGCCCAGAAAGGGAGACGAGGGGACTGCTTCCTGAGGGAGCAGAGGGGCCAGAGCTGGGAGGAGCAATGCCAGCCGAAGACAACGCCCAGACAAAGCTCACCAGCTCCAGGGCCACCCGTGGGAATGCAGCTGGGAGAAGGGTGCTGGAACAGGCTCCTTCCACCCCATGGGAGCCCCAGAGTCTGCCCCAGGACCTTCCCAAACCCTCAGGAAGGAGAAGCACGAGGAAGGGGCCCCAGAGGTGGGAATGAGGTTGAGAGAGCAGCAGTAGGAAACAGACAGAAACAGAGAGTGGGAGATTTAGGGCAGGGCAGAAGAGACGCCACGGTGCCCACCCACCTCGGGGGAGAGAGGGGGTCAGTTCTGAGCCCCATCAGGTTCGTGACCCACTCTAGGAGGAGATGACTCAGACCCCAGATCAGAGAACGAAGCCCCCAGGAGGGGCTGGAGTTAGAAGTCCGGTGGCCTTGGGACGGGGGTGACCCTGACGAGGGTCAGCAGGGGCGAAAGCAGCAGAGCAGGGACAGAACTTCAGTCCCATGAAACCTTGACAGGCGCGAACTTCCAGAGGTCTGGCTGGCCCATGTGCAGCAGGCCGCTGAAGGGCGAGGTGCTCCACTGGAACGGGGGCACCTGGTCCCACGTGGGACCGCTGGCCGCCAGCAGGCTCAGGATCCTGGCCAGTGACATGCTGGTCACCTGGGGACAGGGCAGAGCCGCAGCTGAGCAGGGGTCCTGGCCTGCCCCAATCCAGGCACCCAGCCTCCCACCCTGACCTTGACCCCAGAGCCCAATTCTGAACTGTCACTTTTTTTTTTTTTGAGTCTCTGCTCTGTCACCCAGGTTGGAGTGCAGTGACGTGATCTTGGCTCACTGCAACCTCTGCCTCCCGGGTTCAAGCAATTCTCATGCCTCAGCCTCCTGAGTAGCTGGGATTACAGACGCCCGCCACCACGCCTAGCTAATTTTTGTATTATTAGTAGAGACGGGTTTTCACCATGTTGGCCAGGCTGGTCTCAAACTCCTGACCTCAAGTGATCTGCCCACCTTGGGCTCCCAAAGTGCTGGGATTACAGGCATGAGCCACCGTGCCCAGCCCATACTGTCACCTTTACTGTGACCCCAACCACAGCCCAATTCCGACTGTGATTCCTGCCCCGCCATCAGCTTTGCCCCAACCTGTCCCTTCCCCAAAGCTGGTGATGGTGACTTCCCCCACCCACAGCTCAGGCCCTAGGGAGGAGGCAGCACCTTCACATCGATACCCCCATGGGAGCGCTGACGCAGGGCCTGGAAGGGGTAGGAGCCATTGGCCGGGTTGAGGTCGGAGCGGGCGGAGATAGCATTCTCCCCATTGGGCTGGGGGTTGCAGGCTTTGCACAGTGACAGAGGGTCATGGAGGAAGTCATTGTACCTGGATGGGGAAAAGGAGGGAACATCAGTCATCCCAGGAAGGAGAGGCTAAGACGGGGGCCAAAATCCTCACAGGCAGCCCCGTTAACAGCTGCCAGCCTTCAACTTGATGAGCCCCTCCCACTGCACACTACCCCCGACAGTTCCTCTGCCTGGGGCCCGGACCCCTTCACCTAAGTCACTCTGCCTTCATTATTCAGCTCTCTGCTCAGGCACTCATCCTCAGGGAAGGCCTCCATGCCACCACCCCAGCCAGGTGAGGCACCCGTTTGTTCCTGGATAGCCTCTCTTGGAACACAGCCATCTTTACACATTGACACCAGTGCAAGAACTTGATGGATTTCTGCACCGCCCAAGAGACAGGACAGTGGGGCACAGGTTTTCTACCTGTTGCTCCTGGTACCAAGCATAGTGCCTAGCAGTACAGGTCACTCAACAGATGTCTAGCATCCTCCCCTTAGCTATGAGGACAGTGACAGGGCCCAAGTGGAGAGCGGCCACCGAGCTGCTGCACTGGTGTCCAACATCTGACCACCCCCTGCTGGCCCTCTGGGGCTGGCAGCAAAGTTTGAATGAGTTGGTACAAAAAGCGCACAGGAAGTTCTGTGTTCCTGCGGCCTCCCTCTCCCCAACCCACCACCCAACTGGCACCTACCTCATCAGCCTGACCATGGAGTCCATGTCTTGTACCAGTGACTGGTTCCGCCGGAAGATCTGGGCCCGGGGGCTCCCGTCATAAGAAAACCAGTCCCCATACTGGGCCACTAGGGCCTGCAGCCCACTGGCATTGAACACAGTCTCGAAGGACCTGCCGGGGACAAGGATGGTCACCCATGACCCCCACTGGCCTCACTCAGCCAAGGCTGTGGCCAGGGAGGGGAGGGGCAGTCACACCAGGACATTATTACTTACAACTACGACATTCAGGCTGGGTGCAGTGGCTCACACCTGTAATCCCAATACTTTGGGAGGCCGAGGCGGGCAGATCACCTGAGCTCAGGAGTTTGAGACTAGCCTGGCCAACATGGTGAAACCCTGTCTCCACTAAAAATACAAAAATTAGCCAGGCACGGTGGTGTGTGCCTGTAATCCCAGCTACTCGGGAGGCTGAGGCATGTACTCACTTGAACCTGGAAGGTGGAGGTTTCAGTGAGCTGAGATCGAGCCATTGCACTCCAACCTGGGCGACACAGCGAGACTCCGTCTCAAAAAAAAAAAAAAAAAATTAGCCGGCGTGGTGGCACGTGCCTGTAATCCCAGCTACTTGGGAGGCTGAGGCACAAGAATCACTTGAACCCGGGAAGCAGAGGTTGCAGCAAGCTGAGATCGCACCATTGCACTCCAGCCTGGGCGACACAGCGAGACTCCGTCTCAAAAAAAAAAAAAAAAATTAGCCGGCGTGGTGGCACGTGCCTGTAATCCCAGCTACTTGGGAGGCTGAGGCACAAGAATCGCTTGAACCCGGGAAGCAGAGGTTGCAGCAAGCTGAGATCGCACCATTGCACTCCAGCCTGGGTGACAGAGCGAGACTCTGTCTCTAAAAACAAACAAACAAACAACAACAACAACAACAAAACCAACTATGACATTCGGGATAACAATAATGTCTTCCATTTGTGCTGGGGGGTGGCTTGGTGGGGTGGCCAAGCTTGGGCTCTGGGGCCCAAAAGGCATGGCATCAAATCCTGCCTTCAGTCCGGGTGTGGTGACTTATGCCTATAATCCCAGCACTTTGGGAAGCCAAGGCAGGCGGATCACTTGAGGTCAGGAGTTTGAGATTAGACTGGCCAACATGGTGAAACCCTGTCTCTACTGAAAATAGAAAAATTAGCCAAGGATGGTGGCTGGCGCCTGTAATCCCAGCTACTCAGGAGGCTGAGGCAGGAGAATCACTTGAGCTCAGGAGGCGGAGGCTGCAGTGAGCTGAGATTGCACCATTGCACTCCAGCCTGGGTGACAGGGCAAGATTCTGTCTCAAAACAAAAAACAAAAAACAAATCCTGCCTTCACCATTCGCCAACAGGGGAAGCTTGGGAAAGTGAGGTACTTTCTCAGGGCCTCAGTTTCATCATCTGTGAGATGGGAACAGGAACTCTAGTGACCACATGTGGCAATTTTAAGAGTCAAATGAGAAAATGCAGGTAAAGTAAGTGAGCCTCAGGAGGTGACAGCTGTACAGCCCAGTAAGGCAGATCCAGTCAGAGACCCTGGCAGGGGCCAGTCCCTGAGCCTGGCCACCCCACACCACCCTGCTCTGGGTGTTAGAACCAGAGGTCACATGGATGCTGACTTAAGCCATGCAACTACACTGCCAAACTGTCTGGGCTCTCCTGGCCAGAAAAGGGGGTAGGCTGGGATTCTTTGTTCTGTGGGTTTAAAAACATTGCCTAGGAAGGAGCTGGGCAAGGAGTGAGGTGGATGCCCTGGAGGGTGACGGGGAGCGGAGTGAGAAGGCACGCACGGTATGTTGTAGCTGGCCCAGTAGGTCTTCTGGTAGAGCTCCGAGGTCTTGTCAGCCACCACCACCATGCCGCTGAGACCGAGAAGAGAGATGGGGTGGAGGTGATCAGAAAAGGGGCTCCTGTGGGCACTGCCCTGCTCGGGGAGCCCCGATGGCTCCCCATTGCCTGGAGGATGGATTAAGTCCTGAACTTCAGCCCCCACCAGGGACACCTTCTCTTCCAGCCACACCCTCCTGAGATCGTTCACTTCCTGCACAGCGCCAGCACGGCTCTGGGCCTTCACCCTGGCAGTCCCCTCTGCCCCGAGCCCCCACCCCTCCCTCCCAGGGTACGCACGGGATCTGCTCCAGGATGGTAAGCACCCGGCTCCCGGGGCTGGGCCCACCCGGGATGAACGCCTTGTAGTCCACGATCATCCACTGGTTGTTATACCTGCCGGGCAGGGGAAGGGAGGACTGAACAGAGCCTGGAGCCACCTCCCCAGCTTTCCCCACCCTGCAGTGTCCCACTCAGCTAGGAATTACAGGAAGTGGGCCTGGGGTTGTCCAGCCATTCAACTGACACCCTGACGCTGCAGCATGACCAGGTATCCACAAACCCCTCTCTCGTCATGCTGCTTGACTGTTCCAGAATATTCTGTGGCTCCCTAGGTCAGCTCCTCTGCCGGATGCTGTAAGATCTGCACTGCCCAGTTCCAGTGTCTCTGGCTCACAGGCCCTGCCACCCACCCACGTCCACCTCCTCAAACAGCCCTCCCCACTGTCCCCTTGAGAGTCTTCAGGTTCCAAGTGCTCTTCCTGTACTGCCACCAAGGCACCCCTTCCTAGGCTGAGGAGCCTGCAGGGGAGGGGCAAATCCTTTCCTTCCCTAGCCTCAGTCTCCCCATGTATG
Source organism: Homo sapiens (assembly GCF_000001405.40). NCBI lineage: Eukaryota > Metazoa > Chordata > Mammalia > Primates > Hominidae > Homo > Homo sapiens. The sequence continues at coordinate 113,384,391 of NC_000012.12, read as the reverse complement.
AAACAAAGGAGGGCGTGGGGTGTGTGGCCCGGATGCCACATCTGGTCCCCAGGAGTGTGAGTGTTAAAGGGGAGGTTGGTCTATCTCTTGGTGCAGGGGAAGCCACAGGGCCAGAAGCCCACTCACGTGCCGCTGTTGAACCTCTTGAAGATGTCTGCCCAGGTGGCCCCATCCGAGGCCAGGCGGTTGGCCACGATGTTGCGTACCCACTCCAGCACACAGCCCCTGGGCCGCACATACTTCCACAGGGCTGGGTTCTTGTTGCCAATGGTGGTCTCCAGTGTCACCTGTGGGAAGGTCAAGGGGGCTGCTGCACAGCCTAGGCATGCTGCCACCAAGTGGCAGTACTTCATCAGTCATGGCTCCAAAAATTTTTTTTTTTTTTTTTTTTTTTTGAGATAGAGTCTCACTCTTGCCCAGGCTGGAGTGCAGTGGTGTAACCTCAGCCCACTACAACCTCCGCCTCCCAAGTTCAAGCAATTTTCGTGCTTCAGCCTCCCTAGTAACTAGGATTACAGGCACGTGCCCCCACGCCTGGCTAACTTTTGTATTTTTAGTAGAGGCAGGGTTTCTCCATGTTGGCTAGGCTGGTCTAACTCCTGACCTCAAGTGATCCGCCCACCTCCGCCTCCCAAAGTGCTGGGATTACATGTGTTAAATACTTACTTAATCTGCCGGGCATGGTGGCTCACACTTTGGGAGGCCAAGGTAGGTGGATCACCTGAGGTCAGGAGTTCCAGACCAGCCTGGCCAACATGGTAAAACCCTGTCTCTACTAAAAATACAAAAATTAGCCAGGTGTGGTGGCATACACCTGTAATCCCAGCTACTGGAGAGGCTGAGGCAGGAGAATGACTTGAACCCAGGAGACAGAGGTTGCAGTGAGCCCAGATCATGCCACTGCACTTCAGCCTGGGTAACAAAAGAAGAAATAAATAAAAATAAAAACTCATATCCAGTTGAGGCACGTGTTCCCCACCAGTTCCTTGGACAAGCACGCAGGAGGATTTGGGATCATGCATCTAGCTTTGCCCTGGTGAACAGCCCCTGAGAGGCCCAAAGAGCCGCTCCCATGAACCCACTCCCTCACCAAGCTGGGCAACCTCCCATTCCCACCCCTTTCCCACAGTTCTGCAGGAAAAGTTGCACGGCCTGAGGCTGTCAGCCTGGCAGATGCAGCAGTCAGAGGACTAGGAGGCCTTACAACAGGAGAGGCCCTCAGTCTCCCTCCAGCCTTGGGGCATGCAGGATGCCCACCGCTGCCTCCGATTGCCTCCTCTCCCTTCTCCATTTCCTGCTGGAACCCTTGGCTGCCTTCAGCATATTTGAAAAGTAAAGCTTAGTTCTTGTGAGTTAAAAACCAAACCAAACAAAACTCATGTAATCCCAGCTATTCGGAGGCTGAGGCATGAGAATCACTTGAACCCTGGAAGCGAAGGTTGCAGTGAGCTGAGATCGTGCCACTGCACTCCAGCCTGGGCAACAGAGAGAGAGCCTATCTAAAAAAAAAAAAAAAAAAAAAAACACACACACACACACACACACACACACACACAAAAAACCACCACCACCACCACCCCCACCAAAAAGCTGAGAACAGCTAAAAGATAGCTGTATCCATAAATGTGATTTTTTCTTTTTTCTCTTTAAAGAGGAAAAAAAAGGCTGGACACAGTGGCTCAGCACTTTGGGAGGCCAAGGGGGTCAGATTGCTTGAGCCCAGGAGGTCAAGACCAGCCTGGGTAACATGGCAAAACCTGTCTCTACAAAAAATAAAAAAATTAGCCAGGCATGGTGGCAGGCGCCTATAGTTCCAGTTACTTGGGAGGCTGAGATGGGAGGATCGCTTGAGGCTGAGGTGATAGAGGCTGCAGTGAGCTGTGATCATGCCACTGCACTCAGGCCTGCATGACAGTGTGAGATCCTATCTCTGAAAAAAAAAAATCCTGAAATTTGGTATTTCTTTCCACTGTTAACGTGACACACCACAGTGGTATTAGTAGTCACTGGGACGGTCACTGTCAGAAATCACAGATGTTTTTCCATCAGATTACAAGGCTGTACATACCTTAAAGTATCATTCATGCACCTTGCTTCTTCTAACTTATGGTATTTATCACACCTGCTTCTGGATCTTATTATTCAGTGTGTTAATAAAGCAGCACATATATACTAAAAGTTTACTTATATTTTGATAACCATATTTCACTATAACTGGTTTCCTCCATAATCCTATACATTTTGGTTTATGTGTCTAAAAACACTAATTTGCCAGGCACAGTGGCTCACACCTATAATCCCAGCACTTTCGGAAGCTGAGGTAGGAGGATCCCTTCAACCCAGGAGTTCGAGACTGGCCTGGGAAATATAGTGAGACCTCATTTCTACAAGAAATTTAAAAATTAGCTGAGCATGGTGGCATGTGCCTGTAGTCCCAGCTACTCAGGAGGCTGAGGCAGGAGGATCGCCTGAACCCAGGAGGTGGGAGGTTGCAGTGAGCCACGATCACACCACTGCATTCCAACCTGAGTGACAGAGAGAGACCCTATCTCTATGAAAAAAAATAAATAAATAATAAAAGTTAAAACACTATTCTGAGAAGAGGGCCAACAGCCTCCTGGACTGCCCAAGGTGTTTATGGCACAAAAACAGTTAGGGACCCTGATGGAAGGGAAGTTTCCTGCCCAGACCCTTTCCTGGTAACCAGGTGGAACCATTTCACGTGTCCCTCCCCAGCTGCCTCAGTCCCCTTCCCCACCTGGGCCACAGCATGGGGGTTCCCTCACCCACCGCCTGGCCCTCTCTTGCCTCGTTCCACACTCAGAAAAAAGCAAGGATCAGACAAGAAGAAGAGTCCCCACCCCTCCCGTCCCCGCAGGGAGCTGGCGTTCTCTGCGCTAAGGGTGTTTTTTAGAGTGATGTTTTTTCTCCTCTGTCTCGTTGCCCTGGAGATCAAAGGGTTCACTTTCTCAGCGAGGGGTGCCAGGGACAGATTTCTAAACAAGTCTGGACCGCAGCCAGGAAAAAAGATGAAAACAACACACTGTAAACAGCCTCTATTCAGCAAACCTGGTCAGGTCAGAGGGGCTCTGAGGAAAGCAAGAGGGAGGCAGGAGGAGAGGGAAGCGGTGGGGATGTGGGGGGGGCGGGGGCACAGTTATCCTGAATACATAAAAACAAGTGAGGTCACTGAGGTCAGGGATAGTCCCAAACATCCCCAAGTCCAGCCTTTCCTGACAACCAGGGTTACATGCAGAGTCCCAGGCCATCTGCAGGTTTTGGAGGCCCTGTGCGGGGCCTGGGGGTCTATGTTTAAACACGCCCTTGTGGTGGTCCAAGTCCCCAGAGCAGGGGAAGGGCGAGTCTGGGCTCTGAATGGCAGGTGGGGCAGCGTCCACCTCATCCTCCACTGCACCCCTGGCTCCTACATGGCACCCAGCACTGGGCTGCAGCCTGGTCCCCACTTGCCGCAGGAATCAATCCTGCCAGCTCAGAGCCGCCGTGTGACAAACACCCCAGGAACAGAGGAGACATGAGAAAGGGACTCACCAGCCCACTGCCCAGGATGTAGAAGTCGTCGCAGGAGAAGATGGTGCCGGGGTAGGAGGAGAAGACCAGCTTGTTGCCGGGAACCAGCGGGTAGTCCCCTGTGCAGGCAGAGCGAGCCAGGGATGCTGGTCAGACAGGCACAGGTGGAGGCCCCTGCACCCTACCTAACAAGACACAGGCACAGGGGCACAGGCAGGCCTCCGAGGAAGCCCCCACTGTGTCCTTTTTGTCATTTAGCAAATGAGGTCATTGGGCATATAAAAGTGCATATACGTGCAAGTAAAAATAAAAGCTAGCAGCAAAACTTATATAGTTGGCCCTCCATGTCCGTGGGTTCCACATCCTTGGATTCAATCGACTGGGGACCAAAAATACTAGGAAAAAAACATGATTAAAAAGAAACAACACAGCTGGGTGCAGTGGCTCACACCTGTAATCCCTGCACTTTGGGAGGCCAAGGCAGGCGGATCACGAGGTCAGGAGACCAAGACCATCCTGGCTAACACGGTGAAACCCGTCTCTACTAAAAATACAAAAAATGAGCCAGGCGTGGTGGCGTGCGCCTATAGTCCCAGCTACTTGGGAGGCTGGGTCAGGAGAATGGCGTGAACCCGGGAGGCAGAGCTTGCAGCGAGCCGAGATCGCGCCACTGCACTCCAGCCTGGGCGACAGAGTGAGACTCCATCTAAAAAAAATAAATAAATAAATAAATAAAAGAAATAACACTAAAAGATAAAACAAATTTTAAAAATACAGTATAACAACTATTAATGTAGCATTGTATTAGGTCTTACAAGTAATCTAGAGATGATTATAGGATATGGGAGGATATGTATATGTTATAGGTAAACAGTCAGCCGTATTATAGAAGAGACCTGAGCTTCCACAGGGGCTCCTGGAGTCAACTCCCTCCCCAACACCAAGGGACAACTCTGTGTGTGCGTGGGTATATGTGTATGTGTTAAATATATATACTCAGATAGATAGACAAACAGATAAATATTTTGTTCACTGGACATTTTTTTTTTTTGAGACAGAGTTTCGCTCTTTTTGCCCAGGCTGGAGTGCAATGGGGCGATCTCAGCTCACTGCAACCTCCACCTCCCAGTTGTAAGCGCTTCTCCTGCCTCAGCCTCCCGAGTAGCTGGGATTACAGGCCCACCCCCGGCAGGTACCCTCACCCCTGCCCTAGAACTCCTTCTACCTGAAACCCATCCCTTGACAAGTGCTAGTCTGGTTTTATGCACTGTCTGCAGCAGGGCTACTGTGACCTCACGCTTATGCTGGAGGCTCATTACCCCTGTGATCTTGTAAATTGACTCCTTATACCCGCCCTGCATGGGGGCAGAGAATTATCATCTGCACTTTGCAGATAAGGCAATCTGAGACTCAGAAAGGCTAAGTAACTTAGCAGAGGCCAAACAGTTAAATGGCTGAGCAGGGATTCTACCCAGACCTCTTCCCTACAGTGCTCCAGAGTTCTGGGTGTAGCTCTCTGAATTATCCTTTGTCTTTTTTTTTTTTTTTTTTTTTTTGAGACAGAGTCTTGCTCTGTTGCCCAGGCTAGAGTGCAGTGGGGGGATCTCGGCTCACTGCAACCTCTGCCTCCCAGGTTCAAGTGATTCTCTTGTCTCAGCCTCCCGAGTAACTGCAATTACAGGCATTTACCACCATGTCTAGCTAATTTTTGTATTTTTAGTAGAGACATGGTTTTACCACATTGGCCAGGCTGGTCTCGAACTCTGACCTCAAGTGATCCACCAGCCTCGGCCTCCCAAAGTGCTAGAATTATAGGCATGAGCCACCGCGTCTGGCCTGAATTATCTCTTCCACATTAAGTCTTTGCACTTTAAAACAAAGGGACCAGTAGGCCGGGCACAGTGGCTCACGCCTGTAATCCCAGCACTTTGGAAGGCCAAGGTCAGGAGGCCAGGAGTTTGAGACCAGCCTTACCAACATGGTGAAACCCCATCTCTACTAAAAATACAAAATTAGCCAGGTTGGGGGTGCATGCCCGTAGTCCCAGCTACTCAGGAGGCTGAAGTGGGAGAATTGCTTGAACCTGGGAGGCGGAGGTTGAAGTGAGCCGAGATTGTGCCACTGCACTCCAGCCTGGGCAACAGAGTGAGACTCTGTCTCAAAGAAAAAAAAAAAAAAAAGGAAAGGAAAAAGGCACAGTGGGACCCAGCGCAGAGGCTCACACCTGAAATCCCAGTGCTTTGGGAGGCTGAGGCAGGAGGATCACCTGAGGCTAGAAGTTTGTGACCAGCCTGGGCAACACAGTGAGACCCTGTCTCAAAATAAGTAATTTGAAAAACAAAACGCACAGTGGACCAAACATGGCAGTACTGGCAACTCTCCAAGGCAGCCTAGTGGGCAAAAGAAGGAAGTCGCAAATAATTCATACAGTATAATCTTAATTATGATTTTAAAAAAACTCAGAAAGCAAACATTTTAGAGCAGTGAAACTATTCTGTATAATACTACAATGATGGGTATAGCACCCCATTCCATGCATGAAGCCCACCCTTGGAAATTTTTTTTTTTTTTTGAGACAGAGGCCGACTCTGTTGCCTAGGTTGGAGTACAGTGGCACCATCTTGGCTCACTGCAACCTCTGCCTTCGCGGTTCAAGCAATTCTGGGGCCTCAGCCTCCCGAGTAGCTGGGATTACAGGTGTGCGCCACCACGCCCAGCTAGTTTTTGTATTTTTAGTAGAGATGGGGTTTCACCATGTTGGCCAGTCTCGAACTCCTGACCTCAAGTGTTCCACCTGCCTTGGCCTCCCAAAGTGCTGGGTTTACAGGCATAAGCCATTGTGCCCAGGCAAGGTACATTTTTTAAAGTCTAGGAGAAAACATAACCAAATGTTCACAGAAATGTTCTCTTTTGGGTTGTGGAGTGTTCAAGTGATTTTCATTGTGAGAGTGTTTTGGTGGATTCTCCAATGTTCTATAACATACCTGTATGACTTATACAGTATGTTTTTAAAAGCTATTAAAATTTTAATGGATATATAGCAATGAGAATGATAGATCTACAGCTACACACAGTAATACAGATGAATCTCACAGACATGCAGAACAAATGAGCACACACTACATGATTCCATTCATATGACATTCAAAACCAGGCAAACCTAACCTATTCTGTGAGAAATCAGGACAGGCGGTTGGATCACTTGAGGTCAGGTATTCAAGACCAGCCTGGCCAACATGGCGAAACCCCATTTCTACGGAAAATACAAAAATTAGCTGGGTGTGGTGGTGTGTGCCTGTAATCCCAGCTACTCAGGAGGCTGAGGCAGAAGAATCGCTTGAACCTAGGAAGCAGAGGTTGCAGTGAGCCGAGATTGCACTACTGCCCTCTAGTCTGGGTGACAGAGCAAGACTGTTTAAAAACAAAACAAACAAACAAACAAAAAACAGAAATCAGGACAGAGATGATGCTGGGGTGGGGGTGTGCCTGGAAAGGGATACGAGGGAAGCTTCTAGGGGCTGGGAATGTTCTGTTTCTCCAGATGGATGCTATACACAGGTGTGTTCCACGTGCAAGAAATTCAAGTTGTACACTTACAGTGTATACGATTTCCTGTATAAATGTCAATTTAGAGTTTACTTAAATTTCAATGAATGGACATTAGGTTGTCACCAAACCACTGTGATAGCAGACTTGCTTATACACACTCCCCATGCAGAAGCTGAAATGTCTCTCTAGGGACAGACTGGAGTCAGAGAATTGCTGGATCACTGGAGTGACAGATTTTGAATTTTATTAGATGCCAGCTGGATTCCTCTTAAAAGTAGCTGTGCCAACGCATACTCCCATTAGCAATGAATAAGGCTGGACACTTCCCCACCTCCTCACCAGCTCCTGGTCCCATCAAGTTTTTACATTTGGCCATGAAGGAGGTACTGCAAACATTTGGCAGTGGTATCCCTGGGGCTGATGCTGGGGCCTGGGATGAAGGATGTGGCACTATGGAGGACTTTGGCCTTGACTGTAAAACTGTTTTTTTCTTTATTAGAGACAAGGTCTTGCACTGTCACCCAGGCTGGGGTGTCATGGCGTGATCACTGTTCACTGCAGCCTCAACCTCCTGGGCTCAAGCAATCCTCCTGCTTCGAATTCCCAAGGCGCTGGGATTACGGGGATGGGTCACCGTGCCCAGCCAGTTTTCACATTTGACAGGAAGAATGTATTCATGCAATCCTTGCAATTGGTTGTTTGCAAAAATAGCTCTAATTCTTCCCATGCCTGCATCCAAGCCATATGTGATGTGACTCTGCAGTTCCTCATAGCAAATGGTGGAGCCTATTCTCCCATCTCTTGAGCCTGGGCTGGCCACCTGACTTGATTTGGATAAAGAATGCTGTGTCAGCCAGGTGCGGTGGCTCACACCTTTAATCCCAGTACTTTGGGAGGCCGAGGCGGCTGTATCACCTGAGGTCAGGAGTTCAAGACCAGCCTGGCCAACATGGCAAAACCCCGTCTCTACTAAAAATACAAAAATTAGCCAGACACAGTGGTGCGCGCCTATAATCCCAGCTACTTGGGAGGCTGAGGCAGGAGAATCACTTGAACCCAGGAGGCAGAGGTCACAGTGAGCTGAGATTGTGCCACTGCACTCCAGCTTAGGCAACAGAACAAGACTCTGTCTCAAAAAAAAAAAAAAAAAATGCTGTGTCAAGCCAGGTGCGGTGGCTCACACCTGTAATCCAAGCACTTTAGGAGGCCAAAGTGGGCAGATCACTTGAGGTCAGGAGGTCAAGACCAGCCTGGCCAATATGGGAAAACCCTGTCTCTGCTAAAAATACAAAAATTAGCTGGGCATGGTGATGCACGCCTGTAGTCCCAGCTACTCGAGAGGCTGAGGCAGGAGAATTGCCTGAACCCGGGAGGCAGAGGTTGCAGTGAGCTGAGATCATGCCACTGCACTCCAGCCTGGGCACCAGAGCAAGATTCTGTCTCAAAATAAAAAGAAAAGAATGCTGTGTCAGTTTCACCAAGGTCTCAAGAGGCCTTTACCATATCCTGCCCCAGTGCTACATGAACAGGCCTGTGCTCACCTACTGATGATGAAAGACCACGTAGCCCAGCTGTCCCCATCACCCTGGCTGACAATCAACCCCAGACAGGAGAAGAGGCCATCCCATTCCAGCCATCCCACCCCAGCTGACCTGCCAGCAGACTGCTGATGCATCAGTGAGCCTAGCCAAGATCAGCCTGGCCCAGCCCAGAAAACCAAAACCACCTAGCTGACCCATAGAGGCAGGAGCAAAAAATAAATAGCGGTTATTTAAGCTGTTGTTGTTTTAAATTTTGGGGTAACTGGTTAAGCAGCAATAGGTAAAATAAAAAAGGCAATAAACATGTAAAACAAGATGAACTGGCTAGGCGTGGTGGCTCACATAAGTAATCACAGCACTTTGGGAGGCCAAGTCAGGAGGATCACTTGAGCCCAGGAGTTTGAGACAAGCCTGGGCAACATAGTGAGACTCCATCTCTTAAAAATAAAAAAATAAACAAATTAGCTGAGTGTGGTGGTACACATTTGTAGTTCCAGATACTTGGGAGGCTGAGGCAGGAGGATAATCTGAGCCTGGGAAGTCAAGGCTACAGTGAGCCATGACTGTGCCACTGTACTCCAGCCTGGGCAACAGAGCAAGACCCCAACTCAAAAAGAAAAAAACAAAACCAAAATGAACTCTTGGAATATCCCTGCAGTGACTCCGTGTGTTGGGAGGGTTTCCAAGGCCCAAACCTCCTAGGACCACTCCCCACGTGTGTGCCCACCCACCTGCTCATCCCCCAGACACACCCACACCCACCTACCCCAGGGGCCTTCCCGGAACTGGAGCCAGTACTTCTTGATGACACGCAGCATGTGCTGGTAGTTGTTCCAGGTGTTGTGGGCAACCAGGAGGTCACTCTGGCCAGGGAGCAGCTTGATGAGGGCAGAACAGGAGCCAGAGCCCAGAGAAGGTTTGATCTTGGTCTTGTTCAGGGCCAGCTCCAGGTCTTCCAGGTCCCCAGAGAGCTGCAGCAGGCTGAGGAGGGCCAGGGCATCAGAGGGTTACCACGCCTGCTGTGAGTGCTGTTATGTACTCATTTTGCAGAGGAGAAAGCTGAGGCTCTGGGAAGTCAGCTGACTGTTCCAAGGCCACAGAGCCAGGGAGTGGCAAGGTTGATGCTGGAACCCAGGTCTGTCCGACTATGAGTGTGTGGCCCTTCTTCCCACCCTGTTCACTCTGGGGGTGGCACTTACAGGAACCCCAAGGGTTTGATGGTGAACTTCCCAGCTGGGAAGCTCACACGGCCTTCGTAGCTGTCCTCCAGGCCTTTCAGCTGCAGGAGGGTCAGCCGCACCTAGGGGAGGGGGCGGGGGCAGAGGGAGGGTGAGGCCTCTCCTCCAGGCTCACACCTTCTCCTTCAACGGGACGGGCTCTGGCCTGGGGGTTCAGACAGAGCAGGAGGCCCGGGGGTACCCTCCAGACTCCAGCCAGCCTTGACTCCCCCAAACTACCACCCACCCCTCCATGCTGAGCACTCTCCTGCTTTCAATGAATTAACTCTATGTCTCTGCCCTGTGTTAACCCCAAATCAGCCCCACTTAAGAGCCTAGTTCAAAAGCCATCTCTTCTAGGACGCCTCCCAGCCTGGCCTGGCCTCTTGCCAACTGCTCCTGTTCTGAGTTCAGTACTGACTGTATTGCTGCCTCGGGCACCTGTCTCATGCATCTGACTTCTCCCCATTGTCATCATTTTGCCTCAACATCCTATAGCCATAAAGTATCATCAGTGTGTCCCTCATGGGGCCTTGGGCAGGCACACTGGGCACTTAGTAAGCATCTGCAAGATGGATGGGTGGGTTGTTGGATGAATGGATGGGTGGGTGGATGTATGTATGTATGGGTGGGTGAGTGGGTTGACAGGTGGGAGGTGAATGGATGGGTGGATGAGTGGGTGGGTGGGTGGGTGGATGTATGTATGTATGGGTAGATGGATGGATGATGGATGGACGGGTGTGTGAATGGATAGATGAATGGGTGGGTAAATGGATGGATGGATGAGTGAGTGAGCGAATGGATAGATATGTAGATGAGTGAGTGGGTGGGTGGGTGGAAGGATGGGTGGATGGAGGATGGATGGATGGGTGGGTAAATGGGTGGGTAAATGAACGGATGGATGAGTGAGTGAATAGATGGATAGGTAGATGGGTGAGTGGGTGGGTAGGTGGATGAATGGATGGATGGATGCATGGATGGATGGATGGGTGGATGGATGGGTGGTGGATGTGTGGAATGGACAGGTAGATGGGTTGGTGGTAGAAGAGTCTGTCTTAGGGTGTGAGTAGGTGGGTGGGTAAACAGTGAGAAGTTCTACAGAGGAAAATGGTGCAAACCTGGCCTAGGCTAGGCAGACATGCTAACAGGCATTGATGGCCACTTTACAGAGACAGCCTGCCGTGTGTACCTCACAGCAAACACCTGACATTTTCCGGGGAATCCATAAATAACTGACTTTTCCAATGATGGCCTAGCCAGTGGCCCAAAGGCAGAGAGCCTGCCTGGGCCTCTCCGTTAGCTGCCAGCTGATCAGCAGCTCACTCAAGGAAAGGAAAACAAAATTCACTGTGTCCAGACTTTCTGGGATTTTCTGGTTTTCCCCTTCCCCTCTTTCTCATACTGTCTTTACTTGCATCCAATGTAATCAATCTACCAAGCAACCTCCCTTGTATGCAAGCAAAACACCATATGTACACAAGCAAAACACCATGCTAACAACTGACTATTTGTTTTTGGTCATTATTTAACTGTAGGTAGGCTAGGATGGATGGCTGGAGTTCCAGCAAGTGGACAGATGGAGACTGGGCAGATGGATGAGTGGCAGGTCGGCTAGGAGGGATGGAGATGATGATGGAAACAGAGGCGGCTGGGCAGCTGGACATGCCACAAGGCTGGCCAGAACAACAGGAGACAGGATGGCTGGCCAGCTGGAAGCCCCCTCCCACCAAGCGTGGCAGCAGGACTCACCTGGTGCCAGTAAGGTGAGTCTGGGTTTGACTCCATCTCTTCCTGCATCCACTCTAGGTTGGCCTCCAGGAAGCTCTTCAGCCTCTCGCAGTAGCCGACTTCATACTCGAAGGGGCCGCAGTAATTCACCACCGTGTTCATCCAGTGCATGTAGATGAGCTGTGGGGTAGGGGGTGGGCGAGGCAAGGGCGGGCAGCTGGGGTGCTCTCTTCCCTGAGAGCCCCCCACCCAGGCTGCCCCAGAGCGGAGGCTGCTGGTGTGGCCACCTGAGTCCTTGCTCATGCTGTCCTCTCCCTGGAGGCTCCTCTCCCTGCCCAGCTCTGCCCCGGATAGGGACCCCAGGCCCCTGGAAGTTGCCCTGAGAGCCTTTAGCCTGCAAAGCCTATAACTGATGGCACCACCTCTGCTACTGGGGACCCCAATCTATATGTGTGTTCAGTTAGTCAATCCATGAATGTTTTTTTTTTGAGCACCTATTATGTTCCTTTTTAAGCACTGAGGACATAGCAGGGAACAAAACAGCAATAACCCTTCTGATTCCACTGGGCAAGAGAATGCCGTGGCAGTTTCACCCAGACTTCATGCGGCCCTCTGCACTTCCCACCGAGATGCCACCTGCATGAGTCCAGGCTCGCCTGCTGGGGGACAAAAGACCACGTAGCCTGGTCATCCCCGTGAGTGAGTGGCAGCACTCACTGCCTCAGGATTGATGGCTTCATGACTGCTGCTCCATCACCATCTCACTGAAACACATCCAAATCCTGTTCATCCTTCAAGGCCCACTAAGACACCACCTCCTCCATGCAGGCCTCCATGACTTCCACAGCATTTCCCCACTGCCTGTCCTATACCAGGTTCTGGGCTGGGATCAGGGGACACAGCTGGGGACAAGACATATTACCACCCACAAGAAGGCCACAGGCTAGAGGGGGAGGCAGCAGGGCACACTAGTTAGGAGCGAGACGTGGGTTAGACAGAGCTGAGGTTGAATGGTGCCTCCTCTGTGGACTGGCTGGCTGACCTTGTGAAAGTAGCTTCACCTCTCTGGGCCCAAGCCTGCCCATCCATCCAGGGGAGGTGCACATGCTTCCCTCAGGGGTTTAGGGTGGAGGCTCAGTGAGACTTTGTGGGCAAAGTGCCTGGCACATGGGCCTGGGATTCCTGACATAAGAGCCACTTGTGGCCTTGCCTCAGTGTCCCCAGCAGGCCGTGAGCCCCTTGAGAGACTGAACCGTGTCTCATTCACCACTGAGCACCCACAACAGCCCTGGCCCAGCATCTGACCACTTCCCCAGACACTAAGGTCCCAGAGGGCCACCCACAACTGCGACTGGGTGTCAGAAGGAGCAGTGTGAGTTTTATAAAAGGGTGTCCCACTGGACGTTGTCCTCTGTGATGTGCTCTTTCCCCCTCGCCTCCAGGCATCTCAGATTCACCCATTTCCACTGCTCTGTCATGCTGCACTGTGCACCTCCACCTGGTCAGCCATTCACCTGCCCATGGTGTTTTAAGGACTCCCACTTTGGGACTGCTTTGAGTACCTTGTGCATGTCCGTGGGTCACCTCTAAGGTATGCACCCAAGTAGTAGGGCTGCTGGATCCTAAGGCACATGCAGGTTCAACTCCACAAGTTGATGTCAACTTGTGACCCAATGCATGCCTCCATCTGCATCACAGGAGACAGCTGTCACTCCACAGCCTCGCCTACTTCTTGTTTTGTTTTTTGTGTGGTTTTGTTTTGTTTCATTTTTTTGAGACAAGGTCTCATTCTGTCACAAGGCTGGAGTACAGTGGTACAATCCTAGCTCACTGCAGCCTCCAACTCCTGAGCTCAAGCAGTCCTCCCTCCTCAGCCTCCCAACATCCTGGGATTACAGGCAGGTGCTCTGCCTTTGGGCCACTGGTTAGGCCATCAATGGAAAAGTCAGTAATTTATGGATTCCCTGGAAAATGTCGGTGTTTACTGTGAAGTACACATGACAAGCTGTCTCTGTAAAGTGGTCATCAATGCCTGATAGCATGTCTGCCTAGCCTAGGCCAGGTGGCTCGTACCTGTAATCCCAACACTCTGGGAAGCCGAGGTGGGCAGATCACTTGAGGTCAGGAGTTTGAGACCAGCCTGGCCAACATGGCAAAACCCCATCTCTACTTGAAATGCAAAAACTAGCCAGACGTGGTGGTGCATGCCTGTAATTCCAGCTACTCTGGAGGCTGAGGCATGAGAATCATTTGAACCCAGGGAGGCAGAGGTTGCAGTAAGCCAAGATCACGCCACTGTACTCCAGTCTAGGTGACAGAGTGAGACTCTGTCTCAAAAAAAAAAAAAAAAAAAAAAGAAAAGAAAAAGAAAATTACACTAGGTACTATCTGATACACAGAAAAAATATATAACATATTCTAAGTTATGAAGCATGATAATAAAATGAACATCCAAACTAAAACCTAGAATGGTACTGATACCATTGAGCATCCCCTAAGCCCCTGCCTCCTCTATCCCTAGAGGCACCCACCACCCTAAATGCGGTAGCTATCATTCCCTTTCATTCAGTCATTTATATTGAGATATAGTCAGCATACCATAAAATTCACATTTAAAAATGTACAATTTGGCCAGGCACAGTGGCTCACACCTGTAATCCCAGCACTTTGGGAGGCCGAGGTGGGCGGATCACTTGAGGTCAGGAGTTTGAGACCAGCCTGGCCAACAGGGCGAAATCCCACCTCTACTAAAAATACAAAAATTAGGTGGGCATGGTTGTGCACATCTGTAATCCCAGCTAGTCGGAAGGCTGAGGCAGGAAAATCACTTGAACCTGGGAAGCAGAGGTTGCAGTGAGCCGAGATCACACCACTGCACTCCAGCCTGGGTGACAGAGCAAGACTCTGTCTCAAAAAAAAAAAAAGTACAATTCATGGTTTTTAATGTATTCATAAGGTTGTGCAACTATCACCACTCTCTAACTCCAGAACATTTTCATCATCCCAGAAAGAAACCCCATACCCATCAGCAGTCACTCCCCACTCCCCACTCCCCCCAAGTCCCTGGCACCACTAGTTGGCTTTCTGTCTCTGTAGATTTGCTTATTCTGAACATTTTATATAAACAGAATCATACAGTATGTGCCCTTTTGTGACTGGTTTTTTTCGTTTAGCATGTTTTCAAGGTTCTTTCATGTTCTGGTGTGCGTCAGTCCTTTATTCCCGTTTATAGCTGAATAATGTTGCATTGTATGATAGATCACGTTGTATGTATCCATTCATCAGCAGCTGGGCATTCGAGTTGTGCCTACTCCCTTACTTTTGTTAAGCTAGTTTTACTGCATGTGATGAGTCCCTGAACAACATACTATTTTGCTTTACTTGTTATTGAGCTTTATAAGAAGTCAGACAATATCAGAAGTGGGTGAGAGCCAGGTGCAGTGGCCGGCCCCTAGTGTAATTTTCTAAAGAATGCATGTCCACTTTTTCTCCCCAGATAGATGAAGGGCTGTGGCAGGAGTTGGGGGCCTACTCTGCACACATCTCAAAAGCACACTGGGGAACATGCTTGTGGGGCTGGGGCAGGGTGGGAGCCCCATGTCCCCACCTT